>NC_000011.10:99899697-100202727 GCF_000001405.40 Homo sapiens
ATTTTGTCCTTCCCTGATTTTGGTATCATGGTGATACAGGATTTGTAGAGTGAGTTAGGAAGACATTCCTTCTCCTTGATTTTTTGGAATAGTTTTAGTAAGGTTGGTACCGGCTTTTCTTTGTACATCTGGTAAAATTTGGCTTTGAATTCATGTGGTACTAGGCTTTCTTTTTGTTAGGAGATTTTTTCTTATTACTGATTCAATTTCATTACTCATTGTTGGTCTATTCAGGGTTTCTATTTCTTCCTAGTTCAATCCTGGAAGTTTGTATGTTTACAGGACTTTATCCATTTCCTCTAGGTGTTCTAGCTTGCGTTCATAAAGGTCATCATACTAGTCTCTGTATCGGTTGTGATGTCATCTTGATCATTTCTGATTCTACTTATTTGAGTCTTCTCTCTTTTTTTTTCTTAGCCCAACTAGCGTTCTATGAATTTTCTTTATCCTTTCAAAGAACCAAACTTTTACTTCATTAATTCTTTTTATCTTTTTTTTTTTGGCCTCAACCTCATTTAGTTCTGCTGTAATATTTGTTACTTTTTTCTGCTACCTTTCATTTGTTCTTGTTTTTCTAGTTCTTTGAGATGCACCACTAGGTTTCTAATTAAAAATCTTATATTTTTTGTGTTTACTGATTTATGTATATTGAGCCATCCTTGCATCTCTGGAAAAAAAACACATTTGATCATGGTGGATTATCTTTTTGATGTATTTCTGGATTCAGTTTGATAGTATTTTGTTGAAGATTTAATGCTATAAACTTTAATGCTATAAACATTCCTCTTACCATTGCCTTTGCTGTATCCCAGAGGTTTTTGTATGTTACATTTCTACTTTCATTCATTAATTTTTTTTTTATTTCTGACTTGATGTTGTTGTTTAACATGATCTTTTTTGTTTTCAATTTATGTAATAGATATTTCTACAACCCTTTACTTTGAACCTATGGATGTCATTACATGCAATGTGGGTATCTTGAAGAGGTCAAATGATTAGATCTTATTTATTTATCCAATTTGCCACTATATGTTTTAAGTGGGGTATTTAGGTTATTTACATTCAAGATTGATATTGATACATGATGTTTTGTTCCTGACATAGTGTTGTTAGCTAGTTGTTTTGGAGTTTCAAATAATTTATTTACATCTTAATACTCCCTTTTTTTCATCACTCTGTTTCCCAGCTAGCCTCATACATGTCTCTAAAGCTTTATATGTTACTATATCTTTATGGTCAAAAGATCTCTACAGTGATTCAGAATGTCGGCTCTGGCATCAGACATCCTACTTGGAATTTTGCCTCTATTATTTACTAATTGTGTAACATTGGGCAAGGTACATAGCTTCTCTGAGCTTCAGTTTCTCACAAAAGTGTCTAACTAAAAGGATATTTTAATAAGAAATGAATTAAAACACACATATATAAATATTCATTGTATAGTGTGTGGCAGGTAGTGAGTATTCAGTAAATGGTAGCTATCATCATCACCATCTTGTCTCCATTGTCAATACTTTTTAAATGTTTTGGGTGAGATGACATTAGAACTATAAACTGGTAAGATTTTCTGAGAACTTCTTTTGGTCATACATTTTCTATTTTTTTTTTCTTGAAATGGAGTCTCACTTTGTTGGTCAGGCTGGAGTGCAGCGGCACGATCTTGGCTCACTGCCACCTCTGCCTACTGGGTTCAAATGGTTCTCCCACCTCAGTCTCTCAAGTAGCTAGGATTACAGGTGTGCACCACCATGCCCTGCTAATTTTTTGTGTATTTTTAATAGAGGTGGGTTTCACCATGGTGACCAGGCTAGTCTCGAACTCCTGACCTCAAGTGACCTGCCCACTTTGGCCTCCCAAAGTGCTGTGATTACAGGCACGAGCCACCATGCCTGACCTGGTCATACATTTTCTATTCATGAGCATAGAATGGTTTATTTTTTTCTAAATCTAAATTCAGCTCACCACTGAGATTTATTCATTCAGGAATATCTATTAAGTACCTAATATGGTGCTTGGCACATATGCATGCAATTAATATTAGTTTAATAAAGGAAAAAGCTGTGAATTAAAAAAGAAAACTGAACTGTTATTTGGTATACATGGTGCTAGATGCTGGATACAAGGATACATATGCTACCTTTTTATGTTATTTAATAATGGCTGTCATTTATTAAGGGTTCAGTGTAAGTTAAGGTCTGTTTTTGGATAAAATGCAAGCGTTATCCCCTGACAATCATTTTGAGGTAGGTATTGTTATTCCTGTTACACAAGTAAGGAAATTGAGGTTTATCTAAGGTTACATGGTTAATAAGTGGAAGAGATGTAATTCAAATCCATGTCTTTCTGATTCTAGAGGTCAAGCTTTTATACATTGCAGATGTGTAAATAACTTGACCTCCCACCACAATGACATGAACTGGCAATACGGAAAAGTCATTGACTTTCTAATAGTAGAAGATTAGTAACCTTTTCTACTCCTGCTAATTTTAGTGAACCAGAGCGTGGATCTACTCCTCTGTTTTTGTACAGCCCGCAAGCTAAGGAGTTTTTTTTTTTTTTTTTAACATTTTTAAATGTTTGAAAAATCCGAAAGAATAACACTTCATCACATGTTAAAATCATATAACAGTACCTACATTATACCCTCAATTTTGCCTTTTGCCTTGCAAAGCTTCAAGTATTTACTAAGTGACCCTTTCTAGAAAACATCTGCCTAACCTTGAACTAGACTATTTGGGATGCCCTTCAGTAATGTGAGTAATGCTTATGCCATAGTTGATTTACAGAAAAAAATGTATCACTAGTAAATAGACATATTAGTCCTACACAGTTTCTGGAACTGTTTTCTTACACTTCAGTGCAAAAGAGCTAGAGCAACAACAAAACAGAAGCAAAAATCAAAAGACTACTAGTACATTGGGCTGATGCTTCATGTAAAAATGAGATTCATTCTCTCAAGAATTAATTTATATAATTAATGAAAAATTCCACACAAAAGTAACCTGTTAAAAATAAATGATTTTAAATACCCTTTTAAATGTGCAGACAATAAACTGAATCCTTCCTTAAACTTGAGTATTACCCAAAGATTATTTTACATACTAGTTGAGCCTAAATGAAGATCACAAATTAAAACTTTCTGAAATAATTAAAAGATAGGAAAGAAAGAATTGGGCCAAGGACGGGGAGCAGATTTGCTTTAAGGCAAGGCATGAAGTTTTTAGCCAAGATGTAAGATAAGTTGAAAATTGATCACTAGTCAACTGAGTTATGAAATGAAACAGCTTCCAACGATTTTTTAAATTAAACATGGTATAAATTATTCAGATAGAACTGTTGAGTTTATAGCTTATAAGAGAAAAAATGCAAATCTATGTTACTTGATTAAACTATACAACAGCAAATGAGCTAAGGGAATCAAGAAAGCAAGCAATTTACTTCTTCAGGTACTTGATCAGGAGGCCAGGACTATTGTGAGTGCTCTGCAATACACGAATGAAGTTGAAAACAAATTTGGCAGAGCAAAACACTCAAGCACACATATGCGAACAGCATAAGAATTCCTGTAAAGGGCTGTTTAGATTTTTACTTTGGTTATGGTATAACCATAACCAAAACCGTAACCATAGTATAATCATGGTTATACCATAACCAAACTAAAAATTCAAAACAGTCCTTTACAGGAATTCTTATGCAGTTTGGGACTGGATTGGATTTGCAAAGGGAAAAAAAAACTATTTCTTTATGAAAATGCAGTTATCAGGTTGAAAAGCATAATGTTATACTCACAGTCAAACTGTCTTAAAAATCTACTCACCAGTTAATTATGTTTTTCTCATTGGATATGTGGAAAAGAAATAACTGTGTCATCTAGAGGGGCTGTTCTAAGTAGAGTCTAGTGGAGGCAAAAATTGCCTGAGGAGTTGAAAGAAACATAGCAGAGGGAAATTTCTAGTAGATAATAACTGCCATCACCCTTGGTCAGAGGAACACCGTTAGCTTTAAAACTATGGTAGTTTCCAAGAAACTCTAAATATAATTTTTTTAGAGAGAATATTTTCAAACTATTCATCTGACAAAGGATTAATATCCAGAATATCCAAGGAACTGAAATAACTCAATAGCAGAAAAACAAATAATCTGATTTACAAATGGGCAAATGAGCTGAATAGATACCTATCAAAACAAGACATGCAAATGGGCACCAGATAAAAGTATTCAACATCATAATCATCAGGGAAATTCAAATCAGACCACAATGAGACATCATGTCATCCCAGTTAGAATGGCTGTTATAAAAAAGGCAAATATAACAGATGCTGGTGAGGATGTAGAGAAAGGGGAACTCTTTTTAATGATATTTTTGTTTTCTTTTATTGCTTGCAAATATTGTATATAGTTCTATCATCATATATAGATAATTTTGTATCTTATATATGCTTTTTATTATACGTTAAGTTCTTGAATACATGTACAGAATGTGCAGGTTTGTAACATAGGTATACACTTGCTATGGTGGTTTCCTGCACCCATCAACTCATCATCTACATTAGGTATTTCTCCTAATGCTATCGCTCCCCTAGCACCCAACCCCCCTCCCCAAGCCCGGACAGGTCCCAGTGTGTGATGTTCCCCTCCCCGTGTCCGTGTGTTCTCATTGTTCAACTTCCACTTACGAGTGAGAACCTGTGGTGTTTGGTTTTCTGTTCCTGTGTTAGTTTGCTGAGAGTGATGGTTTCCAGCTTCATCCATGTCCCTGCAAAGGACATGAACTCATCCTTTTTTACGGCTGCATAGTATTCCATGGGGTATATGTGCCACATTTTCTGTATCCAGTCTATCATTGATGGGCATTTGAGCTAGTTCCAAGTCTTTGCTACTGTGAATAGTGCTGCAGTAAACATACATGTACATGTGTCTTTATAGTAGAATGATATATAATCCTTTTGGTATATACCCAGTAATGCGATTGCTGGGTCAAATGGTATTTCTGGTTCTAGATCCCTCAGGAATTGCCACACTGTCTTCCACAATGGTTGAACTAATTTACACTCCCACCAACAGTGTAAAAGCATTCCAATTTCTCCACATCCTCTGTAGCACCTGTTGTTTCCTGACCTTTTAGTGATTGCCATTCTAAATGGCATGAGATGGTATCTCTTTGTGGTTTTGATTTGCGTTTCTCTAATGACCAGCAATGATGAGATTTTCTTCATATGTTTGTCGGCTGCATAAATGTCTTCTTTTGCAAAGTGTCTGTGCATATCCTTCACCCACTTTTTGATGGGTTTGTCTGTTCTTTTCTTGTAAATTAGTTTAAGTTCTTTGTAGATTCTTGATGTTGGCCCTTTATCAGACAGATAGATTGCAAAAATATCCCTTTCTGTAGGTTGTCTGTTCAGTCTGATGATAGTTTCTTTTGCTGTGCAGAAGCTCTTTAGTTTAATTAGATCTCATTTGTCAATTTTGGCTTTTGTTGTCATTGCTTTTGGTGTTTTAGTCATGAAGTCTTTGCCCATGCCTATGTCCCGAATGGTATTGCCTAGGTTTTCTTCAAGGGTTTTTGTGGTTTTAGGTCTTACGTTTAAGTCTTTAATCCAACTTGAGTTAATTTTTGTATAAGGTGTAAGGAAGGGGTCCAGTTTCAGTTTTCTGCATATGGCTAGCCAGTTTTGCAAATAGCGTTTATTAAATAGAAAATTCTTTCCCCATGGCTTGTTTTTGTCAGGTTTCTCAAAGACCAGATGGTTGTAGATGTGTGGCATTATAATTGAGGCCTCTGTTGTGTTCCACTGGTCTATATATCCGTTTTGGTACCAGTACCATGCTGTTTTGGTTACTGTAGCCTTGTAGTATAGTTTAAAGTAGGGTAGCATGATGCCTCCAGCTTTGTTCTTTTTTCTTAGGATTGTCTTTGCTGTACGGGCTCTTTTTTGGTTCCATATGAAATTTAAAGTAATTTTTTCTAAATGTGTGAAGAAAGTTAATGGTATCTTGATGGGGATATCATTGAATCTACACATTACTTTGGGCACTATGGCCATTTTCATGATATTGATTCTTCCTATCCATGAGCATGGACGCCTTTTCCATTTGTTTGTGTCCTCTGTTATTTCCTTGAGCAGTAGTTTGCAGTTTTCCTTGAAACGGTCCTTCACATCCCTTGTGAGATATGTTCCTAGGTATTTTATTCTCTTTGTAGCAATCGTGAATGGAAGTTCACTCATCATTTGGCTCTCTGTTTGTCTGTTATTGGTGTATAGGAATGCTTGTGATTTTTGCACATTGATTTTGTATCCTGAGAGTTTGCTGAAGTTGCTTATTAAGGAGATTTTGGGCTGAGACGATAGGGTTTGCTATATATACAGTCGTGTCTCCTGCAAACAGAGACAATTTGACTTCCTCTCTGCCTATTCGAATGCTCTTTATTTCTTCCTCATGCCTGATTGCCCTCTCTAGAACTTCCAATATCATGTTGAATAGGAGTGGTGAGAGAGGGCATCCTTGTCTTGTGCCGGTTTTCAAAGGGAATGCTTCCACCTTTTGCCCATTCAGTATGATACTGGCTGTGGGTTTTTCATAAATAGCTCTTATTATTTTGAGATAAGTTCCATCAGTACCTAGCTTATTGAGAGTTTTTAGCATGAAGGGGTGGGGTGTTGAATTTTGTTGAAGGTCGTTTTTGCATCTATTGAGGTAATCATGTGGTTTTTGTCACTAGTTCTGTTTATGTGATGGATTATGTTTATTGATTTGCATATGTTGAACCAGCCTTGAATACCAGGGATGAAGCTGATCTGATAAGCTGGTGGTGGATAAGCTTTTTGATGTGCTGCTGGATTTGGTTTGCCAATGTTTTATTGAGGATTTCCACATTGATGTTCATTAGGAATATTGGGCTGAAATTTCTTTTTTTGTTGTGTCTCTACCAGGTTTTGGTATCAGGATGATGCTGCCCTCATAAAATGAGTTAGAGAGGAGTCCCTCTTTTCTACTTTTTGGAATAGTTTCAGAAGGAATGGTACCAGCTCCTCTTTGTACCACTGGTAGAATTCGGCTGTGAATCCATCTGATCCTGGGCTTTTTTTTGGTTGGTAGGCTATTAATTACTGCCTCAATTTCAGAGTTTGTTACTGGTCTATTCAGAGGTTTGACTTCTTTCTTCTTTAGTCTTGGAAGGGTGTATATGTCCAGATTTTCTAGTTTATTTGCATAGAGGTGTTTATAGTATTCTCTGATGGTAGTTTGTATTTCTGTGGGATCAGTGGTGATATCCACTTTGCCATTTTTTATTGTGTCTATTTGATTCTTCTCTCTTTTCTTCTTTATTAATCTGGCTAGTGGTCTATTTTGTTAATCTTTTCAAAAAAACAGCTCCTAGATTCATTGAGGTTTTTGAAGGGTTTTTTGTGTCTGTATCTCCTTCAGTTCTGTTCTGATGTTAGTTATTTCTTGTCTTCTGCTAGCTTTTGAATTTGTTTGCTTTTGCTTCTCTAGTTCTTTTAATTGTGATGTTAGAGTGTCAACTTTAGATCTTTCCAGCTTTCTCCTGTGGGCATTTAGTGATATTGATAGAAATAAATTTGATTTTTAACATTAGGCAGAGTATCCTTGAATTCATACAATATAGAAGAGTAGGCATTTAGGTATAGTGCTACTTATGCTACAGCTCTTCAAACTGCAGAGCACCGTCAGGAGGTTGGGGTGGGTATTTTTACATTATAGTCTTTTCTATATTCTTCAAATAAGGAACAAAACTATGTTGTCCAGTTGCCTATTATTTTCCAAAAAGTGTATCCTGGAATCTTAGAATAATCCCCTTTATTGTTACGTCTTGTAATACAAAGATTGGGGCTGTATACATATATTATTAAAAATATTTTTACTTTATTTAAAAATATATCTTTTATTATATGTCAAACACTATAAAAGGCTTTAAAATGTAATTAATTATGATGTGAATATAAAGTCTTCTAATGTATAATTTAATAGATATATATGACACATTTTCTCAACTGTAATGGAAGAATATTCATTTCAGCAACTTTTTTCTATGTTAGGTTTCTGAGATAAATCATGCTAAAATTACAGAAAGTTGTAAAGTTGTAAATAAGTGGGATGAATTTTTATACTGATAACATTGTTTTGCTCTTAGAGTATCAAATCAATTATCAAAATATAACATATTTTACTTGCTATTCATTGTAATAATGGGTATTAGGAAAATTCTTTCATAAATGTGAACCTACCCATTGAACTAAGTTCGAAATTATAGGTAATATAAAATTACACGTTGAAAATTGTTCTGAACTGACAGTCATAGGCTGTGAGTTAAAATCATGAAGTTTTTAGCATCTAGAGATGTAGTCCCAGTGTGAAAAACTATCTTGCTTCAGGCTAAATCTGGCTATACAAGTGTTTTTGTTTTTTTACACTTGCAGTGTAAGAGCAGAATAGGCAGATAGTCCAATTTAACAAAGGCTGAAGTTGTGCCAGGGGAATAAAATGAAGGGAGAAAGGGGTAAGGAGTCATAGTAGTAGGCAAGAAAGTAATTATATAAGGAAATATTATGAAATAACTGAAGAGGGTAGTTAAGCGTGAAAGCTTGAGAGACAATTTAATACATCTGCAAGTTATAAGAATTGCTATACTAAACGATTTTCTGGTTTTACTATGACATCCTTTTCTCATCATAATGGATTTGTAGTACTCAAACTCTCTGTGTATGTTGTATTTATCCTTTCACATTTTTCTTTTTAATGCTTAGCTTTAAAATTTCCTAAGATTTTTAGTCAATTAAGACTGATCTGAATTTGGAAAAAAATGAACTTAGAAGTAAACAAATTAGGATTATTATATAATTGTTTATGTAGATGTTAGAAATTTTATCAAATGTATAAAACCTCTGCCAGAGTTCATAGACTATATTCACATTAAACACACTGATATACAACTTTTTCATTGTAGATTAGTTATCATTTGTATTATTCAGTGTTGAAGTAGCTTTTTGTAACACATGAAATACAGGAGAAAAGACCTAAGATCAAAAATATTTTTATCACATTCTGTGGACAGTTTATCATTTCACAAAAGCATTTGCAATTTACTGTTTCACTTATGATGTAATTAAAAGTGTCTTTTTCAAGGGAAGCATATGCTGGTTTTCTTTGGTTTCTTTTTTATAATCCCTTTGGAGGACTGATTAATGTCTGATAATATGTAAAGTGAAAATGGCAAGCCATAGCAAGAGATTACTCATCTGACCTGTTATATATAACCAGAGAAAAAACGGGGCTAATGAAAGTTTCATTACAATTTGTCATTATCTTTACAGATTTTCCTTCCTCTTTCTCCAGCTGAATCTTAATTCAATTCTTATCTTCATATAATGGATGTTAGTATATTTTTTGAGATACCTATAATTAGCTCAACTGATATTTTGGAGAGACAGTTTTTATTAAAAGTTAACATTTCCTAAAGGTGATATGTTGTCCCATTCATAGGTGACTGATAACAAATATTTAAAAGAATTATAGCATTATCAAATCAAAACCACAATGAGATACCATCTCACACCAGTTAGAATGGTGATCATTAAAAAATCAGGAAACAACAGGTGCTGGAGAGGATGTGGAGAAATAGGAACACTTTTACACTGTTGGTGGGACTGTAAACCACTTCAACCATTGTGGAAGTCAGTGTGGCGATTCCTCAGGGATCTAGAAGTAGAAATACCATTTGACTCAACCATCCCATTACTGGGTATATACCCAAAGGATTATAAAACATGCTGCTCTAAAGACATATACACACGTTATGTTTATTGAGGCACTATTCACAATAGCAAAGACTTGGAACCAAGCCAAATGTCCAACAATGATAGACTGGATTAAGAAAATGTGGCACATATAAACCATGGAATACTATGCAGCCATAAAAAGTATGAGTTCATGTCCTTTGTAAGGACATGGATGAAGCTGGAAGCCATCATTCTCAGCAAACTATCACAAGGACAAAAAACGAAACATCGCATGTTCTCACTCATAGGTGGGAATTGAACAATGAGAACACATGGACACAGGAAGGGGAACATCACACACCGGGGCCTGTTGTGGGGTGGGGGGAGAGGGGAGGGATAGCATTAGGAGATATACCTAATATTAAATGACGAGTTACTGGGTGCAGCACACCAACATGGCACATGTATACATATGTAACAAACCTGCACGTTGTGCACATGTACCCTAAAACTTAAAGTATAATAATAATAAAAAAAGAATTGTAGCATTATATCATGTGGTGTAATAGGAAAGTATTTAATCAAATAATTTTATTGATTAAAAACATTGTAAACCAAGAGTATCATAATAGCTCTAGATTTTTAAATGCTAATTTCAAAGCTGAATTAGTCACTTTGAAAACTCAAATCTTTTCTGCTGTGAGTTCTTATTCTTGTTACCTAATTTTAGTGAATGTCAGTGTCCTAATCATAAATGGACATAATAAGCCCTCCCATATCTGTTTACAAGTTGATCACAGACCCACAAGTTTACATTTGCCAATAAAATACCAAAAACCTTCATTTTTCTATGGCTTTTCTGTCAAGGTACCATTCAACACTCACATTTTTATTTTAAGAACTATTATTAAGAATCTTATTTGCTCTAGAGTGTGTTATGGTAGCCATTCTGTGCAGACAAATGACTATGTATTAGAGAATGCTAATTTAATTTTTTTCTCAAAACATGTGTAAGAACTGCTTTTTCTATTCTTCCTCAGAAACTGGTCTTTAATAAGATGTCCTTATTGAAGATTATTTTAAAATTCCTAAAATTAGTGTGGTTTAACTTCCAAACATTGAATTGCTTTTGTCCTGGTATAGTTTTTAAAACTTTAGAATCAATCACATTGACTTTGATTTGCCAACTCTATTAAATATATGACTGCAGTGAATTTTTTACTTGCTTTTCACATAGAAAAACAGGAATTAGTATCTACTTCCAGGAAGCCTGGCATAGAGTAGGTATGTTAGTAGCTAGTGTAACTATTTTCATTCATTTCCTTTTCTCTCTTTTCTCTTTTCTAAACATTTAGAAGGTCAAAAATAGTTTGTGAATGAAGTTTGACTAATTTTTATTATAGGGTATTTGCATGGAATGCAAAAAAATTTACAGTGACCTGAATAATCCTGATGATAGTAACAGGAACAATGAATACAGCCAATGGAAGACTTCAATATGCAATCACTTTGCAAGTGAGGCAGCAAATACCAAGTCAGTATTACAAAACTTGTCCGTTGTTTTTACAGAAGTCATAGAAATTAAAGTTGAAGGCCTCTCATGTTGAGAAGCCAGCTCAGTTCCTTAATCTTTCATATAATATATATGACACTCAAATGTAATTAATGAAACTTTATAAAATTTGTCTCTGACACTTAGTCTAATATAATTTGCCTTTTCAATGGTCTTTTTGTAAAAAGTCAAAATCTCAATTTTATAAAAAATTTTAAAATTTGCATTAAATCGTATCTGTGTTCACAGCACTTTTAGAGAATTAATTGAGAATCCTTGGAGCACTGATAGTCTAAAACTCATTAGGGCCACCTACAGGATAAATGTATAGCCACGAATACCTCAGTATTGGCACTCCATTCCTCTTCCTTTTTCCAAACACACCTCCTATAAGCTCAACATTGCCACTTATTCAGAACAGACTTAAGACTGGGAAACATAAGTCCAGGAGACAAATCAACCACAGCGTTTTACTTCTAATTGTATAGCTTTTATTCTCCTGTCTTGAGCCTTTTCCTCACTCCTCCCCAATAACTAAACCAAGCTATTATATTTAACATACGTAAGATACAAGATCAGTGTCCAGAATCTCTTATGTACTATCTCTTTTGATAGTTTCAGGTACTCTATTTCCCTCCAACACTTTAAAATAATGCTTTTTAGGGAATAATTTTTGAAATATTTTTCAGGTGTTTGTGTGTGGGTACATATAGCTCACATTCTACCTACTCAACATGTCTCAGGAGGTTAAAAAAAAAAAAAAGAAAAATAACTTTCTGAGTAGTTTGCCAAGTTTCTCTGCCAACTCTATTACCACGTGTTATCTTTATGAAGTCTATGAAGTCTTTCAGGAGAAATCCCCTTAGGATTGGGTATATCTCTACCTTGTTTTGGCTCCTCTTAAGTTTAGAGTCAAATTTGTAGCCAACTTCCAATAATTTACAACAATATATAGTGTATATTCCTAAATACTTGTTTTGCCCTGCAGCCTTCTCACCATGCTTATTTTGTCTTCACCTAGAATTCCTCAACTATTGTTTTATTTGTTTACTTATTATTATTGAGGCAGATACATATTTTAAGCTACCTCAAATACTTTGTGGAACAATACAGGGATGAAAAGAGTAACTGAAGAATGTCAAGAAGGAAGGAAGACAAGGCAAAAAGGAAGAGGAAGAGGAAGGAAGGGAGGGAAAGGGAAGAAAAAAGGAAGGAAATAAAGGAAAAATCTAAAGTCTGTGTGTATGTGTGTTCATGTATTAATAGCTCCCATTTAGAGAAATAGTGTGAAGTGCTACATGGTAAATGTTCATGGTATGTTTTTGGTCACTCATGAGTGTGGCTGTGACAAGCTGAGCTTTGAGGATTTGGGCTTATATACCTATTTGGTGACCCAGACTCCTGTGAGCTATGAAAAGTTGGCCCAAGTAGGTATGATTAATTCATTTATATATGTATATCCTTTACAGTTTTTCTGCATAACCAGTACCTAACACAGTTTTTAATATATAGTATGCATTGAATAAATATTTGTTAAATAAATTCATAAAATGGTTCATTTTACATCTGATCAATATGGCTCAAATCTCATATCCCAAGTCTACACTCCATCATCTAAAGCTCTTAATAACATCTATTATTGTATGTTTTTCATAGTTTTTTTTTTTTTTCGTAGTTCTTCTAGGATGAATAGGTGCAGTAATTCTCCAAGCTACAGTTCTAGTTACAGCTCTTCTTTTAAACCCTGTGTGAGCTTCTTAACTCAGAAAAAGAAAGGTCAGAGCAAAGACAAAGTCTAGGGCCCTGTGACTTTTGATCACAAAATTTCTCATCTTGTTTCTTAAGTTGAGTATTTGTAAATGTGCCTTATAGTAAGTCCAGAAAGATATTTATTTCAGTGTGTAATTTGAACCTGAATTTTAGAGTCTTCGTATTGTGATTTTTATTTTTACTCCCTTTTATTCCTGTAAAGGTATAAAATAGAACACACGAACATGTATTTTTGACCTTGTGTAATTGCAATAAAACAATTCAAGCCAATATCTATAAAAGCACTTGGTCTTTTTTCCATTTATCTTCTTGGTACATGTAACGTGTCATCTATTAAAATAACATGATAGACACTGAACCTGCACATACATCCACCGAAGTATTTCAAAGTTCTCTGATTAAATACCTCCAAAGAAATTAACTCCTTTCTCTTCTTAGTGAGAGATGAACAAACAGTTAAATTTTCACTCAGGCTATTCAGTCTAACCACCATCCCCATCAACCAAGAATTTTTTTACATAAACCATTCTGCCTTAGATCAACCATCATCTTGCTTGGTACAGGGACCACTTTTACATTGTAGATAATAATGTTTCACTTTTCTTTATGGTAGGAAAGAGTTAAGTGAGAAATGTACATACCCCATGAAAGTACAGACTTCTTTTTAGTATTTATATGTCTTCAAGAAAGAAAAAAAAAATCTACTCACAATATAAAAAAATCTATTTATCTTTGGGCTTCTGGTGCTAAAGTTCCCAGGAAATAATGACACAGAGACAATTCTATGAGGAAATGTTGAATTTTGCTTGTATTAAAAGCTGGTACAAAATAAAGCAATTGGAGTGAAGTATCATCTTTTGGGTCATTGGGATCTCAAAACACAATTTAGGTCATAGTTATTCTATAATTTTCTTTTCTTTGTGTGTTTAATTTCTAGGGCATGCCTGTACTTCAATTCCTCAGAAATAGGCATTAATTTAGGACTGTTTTCTATTAATCTTGTAAATACAATAGGTTGATTTGAAATGTCACAAAAATAAGCATAATATAAACTTGTAGTAAATGGATTGAAATGGATATTTATGTTTTAGAGACCATTTTAAAAATTCAGTTAAAATAAATTGATATCCCAATGACCTTCCAGAATTTGTAGATTCGATGAAGATGAAAAGAGGAAAGTGAAACCACATAATCCCTAGAGATATTAAAATCAAGCATGGTGGCTTTCCCCTATAATCCCAGTACTTTGGGAAACAGAGGCCAGAGGATTGCTTGAGACCAGTGTTGGCAACATAGCGAGACTCTGTCTCTACGAAGAATTTGAAAAATTAGCTGAGTATATTGGCATGTATCTGTAGTCCCAGCTACTCGGGAGGCTGAGACTGGAGGATTTCTTGACCCCAGGATTTACAGACTGCAGTGAGTTATGATCACATCCTGCACTCCAGCCTGGGCAACAGAGGGAGGAGGCTCTCAAAATATACATTAAAGTCCTGCCACAACCACTGCCTAACTATCTTGTATTGTATTTCTAGGAGTAAAGTAAAAGGAAGTCAAATTAGAAATCTTGCCATGCTTTGATTTCATATTAAGATCATTTTTTGGAAAAAAAAGCCTCTAAGAATCAGTCCTTTTGAGTTTAAAGCCATGATTTGCATATATTTGTTTGTTTGTTACAGACAATCATGTGTATGTTGTATTATCTCATACATATGAAATTCAAAAAGAGACAAGCATAATATTTGGTAATAGAAATCAGAGCAGTAACCTTGTAGGTACATATATTTGAAAATGACTGCCTTGATTTTTACTGCTACTGAAGTTAGTGTATATATTTTTAAAGTAACAATCCCCCAGAAAAGTAGAACTAGAATTGCTCTTTTTCTTTTGTCCTGCTACTTTATGAAAAGCTTAACTGTTTATAAAGAAACATTGAATTTTGTATAAAATCTTAAACACATTCTGCAATAATGAATACTTCTCTGTTTCTTTATTTGGTGTCATGTCTTCACTACTTATTAGACCCCCATGATTTTGGATGTGTTTAAGAAGATTTGGTTATACATTCAGCAAAATAATTAGTAAATTCTTACCCATCTCAAAAATATAATGTATAGAATTTTTCTTAGATTGTTATAGACTAGTAATTTATCTCCTTCATATCCACTAGTGTATTTTCTTGAGTGTTCAGTTTATTTGTCAAATTAATATTAAATTTGAAGCTCTACCTTGTATTGCTACAAAGCATATTATTTTAGCATGAAATAATTAAAATATATTTTAAAAATCTATTTTACAATTTGTGCCTAATGGAAGAAATGGCAGAACATTTCTAAGAAGCATTTCTTATCATGGAAACATGATTTACAGACCCAGAATTCTGGGACAGTTTATTTATAAAAATATTGAACTCCTACCATTTGCAATAAAGTAGTCTAAAAGTTGTCTTATTGATCAACCTATCCCAGGAAAAAGGAAAGGAGCGTAAGTACTGAGATATAAATAGTTTAATAAGCAATAATAGAATTACAATTTAAATTACACATCATTCCCTTTTGGACCATTTTCTTTTTAGGAAAATCTTTTCAAATTGTGTAAATGCAACATAGTTTAAGGGAAGGCCATTGATCTCCAATACTATAATCCCTTTTACATAGAAGTGAATATTTCGTTAACTAATACTCCCAGACTAATCAAAATGGATGAGAGTAGTTAATTCACAGAGCCCATTCTAGGCTTTCATAAAATGAAAGTCACATAACTTTCTTATTCACATTTATAGAAAAAGAATGCTTTTTCTATTTTTACTATATTTTGTTAGAGCATACAAGCCTCTCTAATTTGGCATGCTCATGCTTGGTTTTACACATCATTCTTAGCCTGACATATAATGAAGAAGCCGGTGGGACACCAAGTCCTCTAACCAGTTCTGTTTCTCTTTTCACTATGAGAGAATGGGCGTTATTGGTAGTAGAAATATCACTACGTAGGAAATATTATAAAAAATGACTCTTTGTGTTAAAAATGCTATACTCCCTAGCATCTATACTGGCAACTTGAATGGACTGTAAATAAAAATAAAGAGTGTGGTTTTTCTATGGGTGGTATAGATTTATTTCCATTGTGGTATTTAAAATTAGATGATGTAGATATATGTTAAAGCCTTCTTGTCACTGATTAACAAACAAAAGACACCTTGTGAAGATAACGATAGAAAGTAAGTACAAGTTACAATCATAGCAATTCTTTACATTCTTTTCTGCCTTGGATCTAAATGTTTTATTATGTTGACAGATCTGGGAAATTTTAGTGGCCGGACAAGAAGTGCAGTCTCTGTGAGGGAAGGCCAGGGTGTCGTTCTGATGTGCTCTCCTCCGCCACATTCACCAGGTACAGTAGGATCTCATTCTTTGCTGCTGCTGCTGCTCTCTTTTGCTATGTGTTCATTCTTTTAGACAGTATATTGATGGGAGAACATTTCAGGTGAAATGTGCATGGTTTTCTTGACATCTATCAGAGTGCCAGATGAGTAATTCAAGATCACGTACTCTAAATATCATTAGACAGGATACTGAACTCCAATAAGATTGTTTTATTGCCATTCTAACTGTTAACTGTCACTGTTATGCCTCTGTCTTCCATCAGTGAAGAATATATTGCCTAGAGCACAAAGGAAGCGATAAACTGAGAGAATGAAAACTTTTCAAAATAGTTTGGAGTATCAGAGTTGAGTTAACTGAATACCAATATGCGTCTTGTTTCAAAAGATAAACTGGATACTTAGTTGTTTATGGTGCTCTTTGCCACACTGGAATTAGAACTTCTAAGAAATGCTTTTTTTGAGTTTCAAACAAAACTGCAATTTAGTTAGTACTTTTTGGCTCTTTGAGGTCTTGTTTGTAAAAGTCATGGTGAGTACTTTATGTGGCTTGAGGAAGCAGAAAACTAAGCTCTGCTCAGATTAATTATACGTCCTTTTGCAAGCTTACACCTAATTATATCTATTTTGTTTGAGTTTCATAATTTGAGATGAGTACTCCTTTGGAACTTAGTATAGCTTTACTATAAGTTAAGAGTGACCAGCATCAGTTAAAGAGAGAGAGAAAGAGAAAGAGCACAAGGAAGAACCAAGGAATGAAGGCCTTAATTAACAACTGGTAACAGAATTGAAGGTCTTGGTATGTCAGTAATTTTTTCTTCTTTAATTAGAGTGATGGCCATATTTGTTTCTAGGTTATATTATCAGGGTAGTAATGGAGCACAATTTGGCTCTACTGTACATATTTTTTTAATAACAAAATGGCCTACATTGATTTTCTTAAGACTTCTTTATCTTTATCTGATCCCCCTTCTATATTTTTAATCGAAAGTATGCTGCATATCAACAGGGACATATTTTTGAAAACACTTTTATTTGAAACTCAGATAATAATTACAATTAGGGTAATTATTGTTTGAGTTGTACCCCTCCAATTGTTGAGTTGTACCACTCCAATTCCTGTACACCAGTCCAGTTATTCTAATCTTTCTGTGAAAGGTTTGGGAAGTTTACATTAAACATATCTATTCTTGCCTGCATCTAAATCCAGATTTAGGTTCTTTCAAGACAACATCTGTTTTAATTTTTTTAATGGATAAGACAAAAATTTTTATTACATTTAGGGAAAGTGTATAGCATTAATATAAGTCATGTCTCATATTGGTTATTAAACAGATTTCATCCAAGGGGGTTATTAGTTGAATAATTGTTAGAGATTGCAGAAAAGGGGAAAAGAAGGGGAAGGAGAAAGAGAATATAACAGGCTTTATAGAGGATGACTGATCCATCACTAGACTGACAGGAGTTAACAACATAAAGTGACCCCTGTGGGAAAATAAGCAAGATTTTCTGAGATATGATCTTTATTTTAAGGCTGGGGAACGTGTATTTTTAAACAAAGTGAAATGGAAGAGGATAATATAGAAGTCAAAACTTCGGGATTACACATAAATTATCCAATTGGCAGAGAAAACTGTATACAGATTTCTGGTGGGAGAATATAGTACAATGAATTGCATATATGGTAAGATAAACATAAGATAAGAATAGGCACTAATAACTGATTAAGTAATAATGTGATCTCTGATTGAGATCAATATATGTAAATTAAATGACTGTTCAGTAATCGTGTTTTACATCCGAACTCATCTGCTTGACCAAGGCCAACTTGATATGTTATTACCACAGCTGCAGTCTCTCAATTGCCATATTTACAAGCTTCTTATTTTCTGAACAGCATCCACTGTCTTCTACTCACCCCTTTAGTACCCTGATTGCAGGAGTCCTTTCATGTCATGGAAATCTACAAATCATTGATCCTACCCTATTTTCATTCTACTCCACCTCCTTTGATTCTTACTTTTCTCCTTCAGTTATTATCATATTCTTTTATACAGCTTCAATTTTGTCATCTCTCTTTTGCTTTCGCACACTGACATTCCAGTTTGCAAAACCCTAATCACAATATAGATCCAACTCTTAGCCTACTTCACATATGAATCTATTCAGTTTAATATTACTGTTAAACAATCCCAAAAACCAAAGCACACATACAAAACAAATGAACAAAAAACCAGTTATACAGACTGCTGTCAATTTAAAATAAAAATGATGAACTTTACATCTTAATGTTAACTAGAATTTTTTTAAAAACCTATTATTTTTACTATACTTTTGTCAAATGTTTTATGTGTCTTCCCCAGTCTCACTCTCAGGTGATAAACATGCATCCTATTACGTTGTGAAAGAGAAAGCAATTAGAAAATAACCTCCACAAGCTCTCATCACCAAGTCACACACCAATTAGCATTTGTAGCCATACACTCTGACTTCCCAGTTTTTAGTATATATTATAGTATATAGTACAGTATATGGTACAGTATAGCATAGTGTACTATAGTAGAGTATAAGTCAGATACAAAAGAATTTCCTTTTCAAAGGTTTGGCTTATTCAGCATCCCTGTTCTTCGTCCCCTACTTCCAAGGCCACACTAACTTCCTTATCCTTTGTTCCTCCCTATTTTAATTTCAGTAAACAACTTTCCCAACAGTCCTTATTTACAGAGCCCACATTTGCTACCCACTCTGTAAATTACCCCTCCCATCGCAACAGCTTTTCCTGCTGAAACCGCCCTTCCTGCCAGTGTAACCACATTCCTGCACCTTTCAAGTTAGCCAGCCAGGTTCAGCTTAGATTGTGCAGTCCAACTCCAGCCAGTGGAGGCAGGACACAGTAGCAGGGATAAGCTGCATTAAGGATAAAAACCCCTTCCTGCCTTTGTTTGGTGTGCTCTCATGACCAGACTTGGGAGCAGCATTCTTCTGCAGAAGCAAATTTTGCCTTGCTGAGAAATCCTGTCTTTACGTGCTCTTTTTCTTGCGACTCCAAGCTTTACTTCCAACGGTATAGTATAGCATATGCATTTGTTGCAGTTCTAAGACTAATCTCTCAACTTGTGTGGCGCTGTAGTTCATCTTTTTTTGCCTACTTTAAGAAATTGTTTCAGCAGTACCCCTTCTTCTGCATTTTTATCAGAGTTTGATTCCTCTTCTGGAGCAGTCCATCAACATGGAAACCTGCTATTCTTTCCTCCATATAAAAATAAAACAAAGGAAAACTCCATCGGCCAATGCCCTCTTCATTCAGCTACTACATGATTTTTGGTTTCCCTTTACAGTAAAACTTCAAAAACTTTGTCTTTATATACTCTATCCAATTCTATTCCTCTCAGTCAGTCTGTGTGTTTCTCTCTCTTCCCCCTATTTTTGTCTCTACTCTCTTTCTAACAGATTTATTGACATGCAATTTTTATCCCATAAAATTCACGCATTTTAAGTGTACAGTTCAATGAGTTTTGGTACATTTATATAATTGTGCCTTCATCACCACAACTTGAAAGATACTTCCATCATTTCAAAAAGTCATTCAATCCCTCTCCTACTCATGTCCCTAGGCAATTTTTGCTATGCTTTCTGTCTCTATAGTTTTGACTTTTCTAGAATATTTATTTTATTTTATTTTATTTTATTTTATTTTATTTAAGACATGTTTTTGCCATGTTACTCAGGCTGTTCTTGAACTCCTAGGCTTAAGTGATCCGCTCACCTATAATCCCAAAGTGCTGGGATTATAGGCATGAGCCACTGGGTCCAGCCAGAAATTTCATTTTAATGCAATCATACAATCTGCAATCTATGTATGTGCACGTCTGTGGGTGTTTGGTTTCTTTTACTGGGCAGAATCTGAGATTCATCTGTATCATGGCATGTATCAATAGTTTGTTGCTTTATATTGCTGAGTAGTATTTCATTTTAAGGACACATTCCATTTTGTTTATCCATTTGGATTATTTTCAGTTCTCATGTGGGTTATTTCTTTCTCCATAAAACACTATTTTCACTTAGCTTAAAAGATTCCTCACTCTTGATATTCCTCCACTCTTTCTTCTTAATCTCCTTTGCTGATTTGTCTCATCTCCTCAAACTCTTAATTTTATAGTCCCCCAAGTGTCAGTACTATAACTTCTTATCTCCTTAATAAACTCACACTTTGTTAGTTTTCACCTGATAATAAAGCTTTAAATATCTAAATATCTAAAATCTCCCTAACATACATCTCTAACCCAGACTCTGGCTTGTATGTATATCCAACTGCCTATCAGTATTTGGCTAATAGGCACTTCAATCTTAACCATGTCTAAATCTGAACTCCTGGTTATTTCTTCCCCAAACCTTCTCTAGCTACAGTCTTTTCCACCTCTATTAATAGAAATTTCATTCTGTACATCAGGCCTCAGAGCCATTCTTCACTTCTCACTTTCTCTACACCCTACATACAAACCATCAGTAATTTTACTGGTGTCAGCCCACTTTCTGGTCCATAGACAACTTCTTGCTGTGTACTCACATGGTGGAAGGGGCCAGACAGCTCTCTTGGGCCTTACTTATAAGTACACTAATCTCATTCATGAGAGCTTCACTCTCATGACTTGATCACTTACCAAAACACTTGCCAACTAATACCAGCACATTGGCAGTTAGGATTTCAACATACTACTTTTGAGGGGATATAAACATTCAGACCATAGAAGGTGGTATTTGGAGATGGGGCTTTTTTTTAGTTTTATATGAGGCCTTGAGGGTTGGGCCTTTATGATAAGATTAATGACTTTATTAGAAGAGACACCAGAGAGCTCTCTTTCTCTACTGAATGTGAGAAAACAAAGAAGGTGTCCATCTGCAAACCAGAAAGAAAGCCCTCATCAGAAACCAACCATGCTGTCACCTAATCCCAGACTTCCAGCCTCCATAACTGTGGGAAAATAAATTTCTGTTGTTTAAGTCATCCAGTCTGTGGCACGTTGTTATGGCAACTTGAGCACACTCATGCACCATCTCATTCAGCTTAATATCAAAGCCAAAGTCCCTACCATCGCTTGGAGAACCCTCGCCATTTGCCTCCAATTGATCTGTCTGAACTCAGCTACTGCTTTCCCTCCTACTCTCTTTCTTGTAGTTATTGTCATTTCCTTGATGTCTCAAACAACCAGACAAGCTCCTACCTTAAGGCCTTTGCAGTCGCTATTCCCTAGGCCTGGATCATGTATATCCCAGGTATATGAATGGCTCACTCCCTCACATCCATATCTTTCTTTAAATATCACCTTAGTAAAACCTTTTACAATCTTCCTCTTTTGATTTCTACTCCACAATTCGTTTCTCCATCTTTGCTTTATTTTTCTCCGTAGTACTCACAGCATTACATATACTGCCTTAATTTTTCTCCATAATGCTCCTAGCATTCCATATACTGCACGCATTTACTTACTTCGTTGTTCATAGTTTGTCTCCTTCGGTTACAATGCAAATTCTACTAAGACATAAATTCTGCAGGTTTTGTTCACTGTTATTACCCCATTGCCTAGGACAGAGTATGAGCTCAAAAATATTTATTGAATGAATCTATGTATAATATTCAGAAATATATGAAATGAGCCCAGGTTTTAATAAATATCAGAAACTTTGATGGAAAAGTCATAAATAAGAATAGGAAAAAAACAGATCAGCTATGTAACAAGAAAACCTTTCTTAAAATTTACCTTTTTCTCATAATTATATTGTGAAATGGTGCATTAATTTTAATGTCTTGCTTATTTGCTTAAAAGAAGAACTTTGAAACTCTCTTGGGAAAATATAGTCAAAAAAGCTTGCTGAAGAAACAGAATATATTAGTCCATTTTCGTATTGCTGTGAAGAAATACCTGATACCGGGTAATTTATAAAGAAAAAGAGGTTTAATGGACTCACAGTTTCACCTGGCTGGAGGGCCTCACAATTATGGCAGAAAGTGAAGGAGGGGCAAAGGTGCGTCTTACGTGGTGGCAGGCAAGAGAGCATGTGCAAGGGAACTGCCCTTTCTAAAGCCACCAGATCTTGTGAGACTTATTCACCATCATGAGAACACAATGGGAAAAATTCACCCCCATGATTCAGTTACCTCTCACTGGATCCATCCCACAACACGTAGGGATTATGAAAGCTACAAGTCAAGATGAGATTTGAGTGGGGACACACCAAACCAAATTACAGAGGAAGTGAGAAAAGAATAATCCAGGGTGAAGTTTCTGATCTGACATTTATTAGCAATGACTTCAACAACTGCCTTTGTTTGGGTGGAATGAGATTGATATTATGAAATTAGTAAATAACCTGATACGTGCTAGAAATCTTAGACCCAAGTTTCTGTTTCATCCAAATAGTCATGTAGATTATCATAGCATACTTGTTCAACTGATGCTTGATTGCATTTTGTTTCCCAATCTTGTTTTACTTCCGTTTTTCAAATCATAATTAGTTTGTTATTTTATCTATTGGAACAATACAATGTAAAGTGTCAGGAGTCAAATTTTATTATTTTTATCTTTCCAAGTAGATTATATGTTCTTTCAGTATATGAAGCTTACCACCTTCCACTTCATATTCCCAATACGTAGCACAGTGTCTGATCCTTACTAGGTGTTCATTAAACGCATGTTAAATAACTGAGTGAAATGCAGATTCTAACAGTTGAGTTTTGCAAGGTTTTAGACAGTTTCTGTCAGCCTTCTGGTATTAGCTCATTGTATCCTATATTCATGACAGATATTTGGGTCACTTAATATCACATTCATGTATTGCTATTTCAAATTGTAGCAGCTACTATGATTCAGTGGAAGCTGTATGAAATGATAAAACAGTTTACACATCAGAGAATATTAAAAATTATTCAGAAACAGCCCACAGATCCATTTTCTTATTACCTCAAATAGATGTGCAATGCCCATTTTTCTTCAAATAAAAGCAAAAGCTTGAATTGACTTGATAGCTAAATTTCTCAGTTTTCTTCCCAAGAGATCAATATTAATCTCTGTCAGCAACATATGTACATGAAAATACCTTGTTTGGATACTGAGGTGGTTATTCATCTATAAGACAATAAATATATATATTTAAAATGTTAAGCACACCTAGCCCAAATGAGTTTTGATTGCCAAAAAACGTGTTTTTCAGTTTAGTAATTTTGAAATTGAGGGTTATATTGTAAAGGAAGGCTTTGTGAAAATGTAGAAATAGCCTCATAAAACCTATAAACCTATATAAAGTTATTTTACTATTTAGAAGCTATCATTTATAGATACTTTCTACATAAATAAGTCATTTATTACTATTTTACTTACATATTTGACTTTATTATGTACAGAAATATTCAAAAGCTTACGTTGAAGTGGTTTATTTACTTTGGGGTATATACCCAGTAATGGGATTGCTAGGTTGAATGGTAATCTAGTTTTAGTTCTTTGAGAAATGTCCAAACTGCTTTCCACAGAGACTGAGCTAATTTGCATTCCCATGAAAAATGTAGAAGTATTCCCTTTTCACTGTAACCTCACCAATATCTGTCTATCTAATCTATCTGTCTGTCTATCTATCTATCTATCTATCTATCTATCTATCTATCTATCTATCTATCTGACAGAGTCTTGCTCTGTTGCCAGGCTGGAGAGCAGTGGCATGATCTCAGCTCACTGCAACCTCCACCTCCTGGCTTCAAGCGATTCCCCTGCCTCAGCCTTCCAAGTAGCTGGTAGGTACTACAGGCGCACACCACCACACCCAGCTAATTTTTTGTGTTTTAGTAGAGACAGGGTTTCACCATGTTGGCCACGATGGCCTCAATCTCCTGACCTCATGGTCCGCCGGCTTCTGCGTCCCAAAGTGCTGGGATTACAGACGTGAGCCGCCACACCCGGCATCTATTATTTTTGTTTTACTTTTTATTAATAGCCATTCTGGCTGGTATAAGATGGTATCTCATTGCGGTTTTCATTTGCATCTCTCTGATAATTAGTGATGCTGAACATTTTTACATGGTTGCTGGCTGCTTGTATGTTTTCTTTTGAGAAGTGTCTGTTCATATCCTTTGCTTACTTTTTGGTTTTGTTGCATTTGCTTTTGAGAACTTAGTCATATTTTTTTTGCCTAGGCCAATGTCTAGAGAGTGTTTCTTAGGTTTTCTTCTAGGATTTTTATAGTTTGAGGTCTTATATTTAAGTATGTAATCCATCTTGAGTTAATTTTTGTGTATGATCAGAGATAGGGATCCAACTTAATTCTGCATATGGTTAGCCAGTTTTCCCAGAACCATTTAGTGAATAGGGTATCCTTTCCCTATTGTTTATTTTTGTCATTTTTTTTGAAGATCAATTGGTTGTGGGTATGCAGCTTTAATTCAGGGGCCTCTATTCTGTTCCATTGGTCTATGTGTACCAGTACTATACTGTTTTGGTTACTGTAGCCTTGTAGTATAGTTTGAAGTGGTTATCATGCTTTTTCTGTGGTTTATTTGCCCTCTTTTTACTTTCACCTATTTTTATTAATATGTTTTTAAATTGTAATTTTCCTTCTATTCATTTCAAAATTTAATATTTTATATGCTGTTTTCAAAATTATATGTAAAATCTTAATATAGCTATTTAACATTATTTTTGAACAGTTTCAATGCAGTTGTTTTTGGTGATTAATGAATCTGTTCATTCAAACAGAATTTGAAGAAGTAAGGGTGTGTAAATTTCTGGCTCTATGAAATACAGTACCTAAGAAATGGAGAATTTGGTTTAGGATAGGAAAAGATTAGTTGAGTTGTGAATACATGAAGTCTTATATATCTATAGGTAGCTCAGAAAACTGGATATAAATCTCCAGTTCTTGATACACCTGACTCCCATAAAGTGCAAAACCATAGACAGGTATATCTCACTTAAATATGCTCTCCAAACAATCAGTTTCTCTACTATCACTCCTCCAGTTATAGGTGGAATTGTGGTGGTATGCATATCCATCAGGGGGAATACTAGTGTTGTATGTACATTGGATCTCAGAGGGAAGGAAAATAAAATCATAATAATCAGTTAAGTAGGAAGCGCCAAGGCAACTGGAGTAAGTGCATAAAGTGAGTATTTGCAGACTAAACTTATTTTATTTCTGCATATAAGCTTTAAGCCATCATAGAAAATAGCTGAATTTATAAAGTAATGAGCTATATAGCGAAGCTTAATCCTGAGCACTCAGCAAACATAGTGTATAATGCATTTGGTTGTCCTTTTAACACTCCTTCATTGTAAACACTCTAACATATAGTATATCCAGTTTGGAAATAATAGTCAAAATGCAATGGACACTGAAGGACTAAAGATGCTGACACCTTTCTAGCTGCTAAATCTAAGCAACCCCTCATTCCCCTTGGCCTTGAGACTCCTTGGAAGTATTGGTTAGAGTAGAGCAAAGAGGTCTTCAGTTTTTGTGTATGAGCTGTAACACTTCAGCTGGGGCATTTCCTATTAAAGAAAGAAAGAAACAAAAGAGATAATTTTTGTTTTGTGGGTTTTTTTTTTCTTTTGGATTCTAAATACTTCTTCTTCAACCTAGTTTAAGACAGGCAGACAGGTTCACCATTCTCAAAACCGTTGTAAAGACAGATAAGATATAAGTAAACAAATCCAGAGAATATAAGAGGTAGTCCCAAGAACACTATGATGAAGGAATACCAGATATTCTCTGCTTCTAAATAGCTATATTGTACCATCATATTTCACCTGGGATTTGGTCTCAGACATCCAGGGATTCTCATCCTGGCTCTGACATTTACCATTGGTCTGTCTGTTAAATTAAGCTTTACCTTGCCTGTAGCGAAGGAATAATAAAAGCTACCTCACAGCATTGTTGTCAGAATTAAGAGGTAGTTTATGTAAGATAATTAGCTCAATGGTTGGAGGACAGTGAGCATTAAATTAACTTTGTCTTGATAATCTGTCTTCAAAAACCCTCTTTAAAATGCAAATGCTTTTGAGAAAGGGGTTGCCTTAAATCATTATCTGCTAACATTAATTAACAGTTGGCAGAGATTAGTTGACATCAAGCTGACAAGGCAACTAGAAGATGAATGGCACTTGGAAATGGGAATCTCAGAGTTTAAGAAGGGGAAGGGATCAAGAAAAGGAAAAATGAATCCTGACAGTTAAGTGAAAGGGCATCAAGTATCATTGCTATCTTCAGGAGACCTCTTTATCCTAAAATAATAAATAAATACCAGAAATTGTTCCTTTAAAGCTATATAAAATGGCAACCAAAATTTCACAGAGGTAAAAACAAAATATTTTTGATGGTAGTTTTATTTAAAATGAGATTTTACATTATACAATGTAAATCATAATTTAAAATGATGTAATTACAACAAGTACAAGAAAAATGGACAAGACTTTTTTGGCATCTTTAATCTTACAAAATAGTAAGATACCATGATACTCCTTGCTTCAAAATTAACTTTTATACCACAAACACAAAAAGTAATTGTTCCAAAAATATTTAAGGATTTCCACAAATTTCTAAAGATTTCTTAGTTGTTTTATTTCAAATCACTATATATTAAATTACATAAGATCTTTATTCTGTGAGAGTTTATCACACAGACTTTCATTTTTTGATAATTTTGCTTTATTGATTGAAGCTGTTTTCCAAATGTGTCTTTGTTAAATTAATGAAACCCACAACTTTTACAAGATTTACAGTTTTACTTTGAAATACGTTAATGTTGTATTCTTACATTTTATAAATAACTTATGCAAAAGATATTGGCAAGATGGAAATACATAGATTCTAGGAAGTGTAATTGAGTGAGACTAATTTTAAAAGTAATCAATTAGTCATTATTATGTGATTATGACTTCTTTTCCTAAAAGGAGCTTGTAATTAGGGTTACTTGAGTTATATTATTTGGACACAGAGAGCTCTATTTTTAAGTTTTGCCTAGAATTAGCCATCTCTTTGGATAAATGGAAGCAAAGAAAATCAGTATTTTACATTTTATGTATCCTATTCTATCTTTATCCCTGTTTTATAAGTAAGTTATTGTTACCACCACATTGCAAATGGTAATATTGAAGCTCAGAGAGCAAGTTGCCTAAAATCCCATGGCTAATAAATAAAAACACAGAGATCCAGGTCTGTGAATTCAAACCCTATGTCCTTTTGACTATATCATATGGTCCTTACACATTCAGTATATTGTATTGTATTAGTGCATTATCCCGCTGCTATGAAGAAATACCTGAGACTGGGTAATTTAGAAAGGAAAGACGTTTAATTGACTCACAGTTCTGCAGGGCTGGGGGCCTCAGGAAACTTAAAGTCATGGCAAAAGGGAAAGCAAATACATCCTTTTTCACATGGTGGCAGCAAGAAGAATTGCCAAGCAAAAGGCGGAAAAGCCCCTTACAAAACCTTCAGATCTCTGGAGAACTTGCTCACTGTCATGAGAACAGCATGAGGATAACTGCTCTCATGATTAAATTACCTCTCACCAGGTCCCTCCCACAACATGTGAGGATTATGGGAGCTTCAATTCAAAATGAGATTTGTATGGAGACACAGCCAAATCATATTATTCCACCTCTGGCCCCTCTCAAATCTCATGTCCTCACATTTCAAAACACAGTCATGCCCTTCTAACAGTCCCCAAAAATCTTAACTAATTCTGGCATTAACTCAAAAGTCCAAGTCAAGTCTTATCTGAGACAAGGCAAGTTCCATCCTGGTATGAGCCTCTAACATCAAAAGCAAGTTAGTTACTTCCTACATACTATGGGGGTACAGGCATTGGATAATTACACCCATTCCAAATGGGAGAAATTGGCCAAAATGAAGGAGTTAGAGGCCCCATGCAAGTCCTAAATCCAGTGGGACAGTCAAATCTTAAAGGTTCAAAATGATTTCCTTTGACTACATGTCCAACATCCAGGTCACACTGATGGAGGAGGTGGGCTCCCATGGCCTTGGGCAACTCCGCCCCTTACAGATTTGCAGGGTACAGCCCCCTCTCAGCTGCCTTCATGGGCTGGCATTGTTTGTAGCTTTTCAAGGCTCACATTGCCAGCTGTCAGTGGACCTACTATTCTGGGGTCTGGAGGACAATGGCCCTCTTCTCACAGCTACACTAGGCAATGCCCAAGTGGGGACTCTGTGTGGGGGCTCCAATCCCACATTTGCCTTCCACACTGCCTCAGCAGAGGTTCTCCACGAGGGCTCTGTCCCTGCAGCAAGCTTCTGCCTGGACATTCAGGCACTCCCATATTCTGAAATCTAGCCAGAGGTTCCCAAACCTCAATTCTTGACCTCTGTGTACCTCCAGGCTCAACACCACATGGAAGATGCCAAAGTGTGGGGCTTGCACCCTCCGAAGCCATGGCTTGAACTTTACCTTGGCCCCTTTTAGCCACAGCTGGGATGCAGGGCACCAAGTCTTGAGTCTGCACAAAGCAGCAGGGCCCTGGGCCTGGCCCACAAAACCATTTTCTCATCCTAGGCCTGTGGGCCTGTGATGGAAGGGGCTGCTATGAAGACTTCTCACACGCTCTGGAGACATTTTCCTGATTGTCTTGGTGATTAACATTTGGCTCCTCATTACCTATGCATATTTCTGCAGCTGGCTTGAATTCCTCCTCAGAAAATGGGTTTTTGTTTCACATTATCAGGCTGCAAATTTTCTGAACTTCTATGCTCTGTTTCCCTTTTAAATGTAAGTTCCAACTCCAAACCTTATCTTTATGAATGCATAAAACCAAATGCTTTTAAGAGCACCCAAGTCATATCTTGAATGCTTTGCTGCTTAGAAATTTCTTCTGCCAGGTGCCCTAAATCATCTCTCTCACGTTTAAAGTTCCACAGATCCCCAGGGTGGGGGCAAAATGCTGCCAGTCTCTTTGCTAAAACATAGCAAGAGTCACCTTTATTCCAGTTCCCAACAAGTTCCTCATCTCCATCGGAGACCACCTCAGCCTGGACTTCATTGTCCATATCACTGTCAGCATTTTGGTCAAAGCCATTCAACAAGTATCTAGGAGGTTCCAAACTTTCCCCCATCTTTCTGTCTTCTGAGCCCTCTAAGTCTCTAGGACATTCCAAACATTCCTACATTTTTCTGTCTTCTTTTCAGCCCTTGGAACTGTTCCAACCTCTGCCTGTTACCCAGTTGCAAATTTGCTTCCACATTTTTGGGTATCCTTTCAGCAGTGCCCCACTCTCCGTGGTGCCAGTTTACTGTAATAGTCCATTCTCATGCTGCTGTGACAAAATACCTGAGACTGAGTAATTGATAAAGGAAAAACGTTTAATTGGTTGACAGTTCTGCAGGGCTGGGGAGGCCTCCGGAAACTTACAGTCATGGTGGAAGGGGAAGGAAACATGTCCTTCTTCACATTACAGCAGCAAGGAAAAGTGCTGGGCAAAAGGAGGGAAAAGCCCCTTATAAAACCATCAGATCTTGTGAGAACTTACTGACTTCATGAGAACAGCATGAGGGTAACTGCCCCCGTGATTAAATTATCCTCCACTGGTTCCCTCCTAAGACATGTGGAGATTATGGGAGCTACAATTTAAGATGATATTTGGGTGGGGACACAGTCAAACCATATCACCTATTGTTACTGGTGGCAAGTCTGAACAGGGTCCTTGGTCCTCGATTCTTGTCCTGTTGGAAGAAAGAATTTGGCCAAGAAGAGGTAGTAGATTTAAGGCAGAAATGAGAGTTTATTGAAACAAAGAAAAGTCCATTTGGAAGGACCCAAGTTGGAAACTCAAAAGATTGACTGCCTCGCCTGATCCTTAGCTCAGTGCTCTTATAGACTTATTATTTCCTGCTTTTTATCCTGGTCTTTTCCCCTTGTCCTTCCTGTTGGGCAGGATGTTGGCTAATCGCAGTATGTAGAGTGACTTGCCAGTGTCTGGGAGGGGCCACATGCATCATTTGGTGGTTGAGGTTATCTGCGTGCTCTCTTAGAGCAGTTTTCCCTTGCCAATCTAGCTCCCCCAGAGGAAGGTCATATACTGATCAAACTGCCATTTTGCTCCTTACTGCATATGCCTGAATATATTCTCAGAAAAAGGTCACAATCTGCCATTTTGTCTCTTACTGTGCATCCCTGAACATGTCCCAAGAGGAAGATCAAATTCCACCATTTTGACCCTTACTGTGTATGCCTGGATGTGTTTGTTCAATTCCTAGGATCTTACTGGGAGTTTGTTGCCCAAAAGCTCAAGGTGTTTCCTATGTGTTAGGAAATGTTCCTTCCCCTCGTGCCAGTCTTGACCACTCATTTCTGAGGAGACCGCCTGACAATTGCCTGACAGTCACCTGACAGTTGCCTGATATTCTTTGGGGCCCTATTCTGCCCTGTTCATATCTGCCTATCTACCTACTCTAACAACATGGTCTGAAATTTTACTAAAAATGTTTATTTTGTGTATACGTAGGCCACTTGTTAACATGTTTGTTATGCCAATTCAAATAAACAAGAGATTTCATCAATTATTTTGATTGACTTAACTAAATTGTTGTCTGAATTAAACATTTAATGCTTCCCAAATCAAGGATATAAACAGTAGATAAAAATAAACACATACACACAAACACACACACACACACACACACATTTTAGTATTTTTACCAAGTAAAATAATGCAGTGCTTAAGTGTCTATTTTAGCAGTTATTTAGAAGCCAGGCAACATAGACAATACAAGGATATTGAAGGAAATGCTTGAGAAATAAAGGAATTATTTATTTTTATTATATCATGTCTGTTTTCCTTTGTGAGTAAAAAATGTATAAATTATATACTCTCAAATTAATCAGAAAAAGACTGCTTCAACCTAAACTGTGTTGTCCATTGAAGCATTTGTAACAAGTGCTTTAACTAGTTACTTAATAATATCTGAATGTAGTGCTTATCAACAGATACATTTTGACATTATTTTAAAATCTGCAGAGATCATTTTAAAAATATTTTACTTTAAAATATTTCAATAGAAAAATGTTTTGTTCTTTTCATTGCTTTTCCTGTACTTAATTGTAATATATTTTCCAGATATCACTAGAAAGGAAAACTCAATGTGTTTCAGAGTCTTTAGTTTTTTAAACTATCTGACAAAACTTACACATGGAAAACTAAACTATCACAAAGCAAACACTTCAATATGGAGTTTGTTTTAGAATATTTAGACACAGCATAAGGAAAAAGACTTAGAACACTGCAATAACCTTGGTTTTTTTTACTTAGATTGGTTAGGGATTTTGACATCAAGCAGCTCTAGTTTACCTAATTATTTTTGATTGTTTAATTGGATTTGACCACATAGTAAAAGGATTTGACCCAAGTCCTTAAAATAGCCTATTTTTGTTTCATCTTTATAGTCTACACAGAAAAATGTAAAAAATAATGGATCAAGAAAGCAAGCAACTCACTCCTTTGATAACTGGTTCCCATTAGTGGGAATAACTAGTGTTTCCATGTTACGTTCATTTGGTTTGGCCAAAGTGGTCAACCAGTCAAATTAGTATGTTAAATGCAGACAAGTTAGTGTGCAATATTTGCTAGTAGTGCTTGCTCTAAAACTGAAGGCAGGAAGAAAGAAATGGGGTAACTTATGTATGGGTTGAGCATGAAAAATGTGGATGTGTCAGAATGTCTGGAAAGTTACGATATCCTTCTAATTCCAGAGAGTATCTAAGCTAGTCCTCCCTATCTGTCATATGATGATATATTTTTCATATGAATTTATCACCATAGAAACCTCCAATATCTCCCCATCACCTGTAAATTAACTTTAAGTTCCTTAACCTGGCACTCGATCCTTTTTTGAGTCTCCTGTATAGTTTGCCATTTGACTATGAAGCACCTAAGCTTCTGTTTATCTTACTCACTGTATTCATTTTTTTCAGCTTCCTTGCCTTTGATCATGTCATTTCCAGTGCCAGAAATGCTTACCCATCTCCCTTATGCACTTTTGTTGAAACGTGTATTTTATTTTATTTTATTTTTTTGAGACGGAGTCTCGCTGTTGTCAGCCCGGGCTGGAGTTCAATGGGTCGATCTCGGCTCACTGCAACCTTCGCCTCCCGGGTTCCAGCAATTCTCCTGCCTCAGCCTTCTGAGTAGCTGAGATTGCAGGCACCCACCACCACGCCTGGCTAATTTTTGTATTTTTAGTAGAGACGGGGTTTCTCCATGTTGGCCAGGGTGGTCTTGAACTCCTGACCTCAGGTGATCGACCCACCTCAGCCTCCCAAAGTGCTGGGATTACAGGCATGAGCCACTGCACCCAGTCAACTTGTATCATTTTTTAAAGTACATACCTTAAAATAACTATAGTATATGTATACATATTTCTTGGGCTCTAGGGTCAGAAGGATTCAATTTTGTCACTTATCAGCAATGTGACTTTGGGGAAGAAATATAACATGTTCTTACCATAATTCCTCATTTTCAAAATTTTACATGTATATGCTGAAAGATTTAATGAGATGATATATGTAAAGTATTTTACCCAGTGCCTGCTTCTTGGTAAATACTCTATAACTTAGTGATGATGATGATGATGATGCCCTCTTCATTTTATCCGTTTATGGTTAACAAAGTAACAAAGGATTTATTCTTCTCTCCTGGCCCCCTGCTTCCTCATTAGCATTCCTAAGTGCCTATGAACAAGTTTTCTTCTCTTGTCTAAATCTTGTCACATCCTTCACTGCACAACAGTCATTTATGACATCTTATTTTTCCTACTCGATGTAGGCTACTGAGGCAGTCCCAGTATCTTTGTATCTTTTATAGATTTGCTGACATAGCCCTGGATGTTATCAGGTACTTGATAACTACTGTTTATTAATTGTTCTAAAGCAAATAATGAGGCCTGAGTACCCCACTTTAAATAGTTAATTTTGTATATTTCAAAAGATAATGTTACCTTTCTTTATATTTTTTCAATAAAGAAATATAGTGATGTAGTTATTTGATCACATATAATATAAATCTTACTCTAGAGAAATAGAAACAAATAGAAAATGTTATCTTCATTTAGGAATTTCAATTAATGTTCTCAGTTGGCAAATTAATATTTGAGTCAACCCTTTTCTCTTTGTTTTATGTCACTTATTAAATATGGATCATTTTTAATTAGTTTTATTGAGGTATATTAACATATAATGAACATCAGCAACTTTTAAGTGTATAATTCAGTGAATTAAGATAAAAGAAGTCATGTAACCACTACCATAATCATGGCATAGAACATTTCCATCACCACAAGAAGTTCCCCAGTGCTCTTCCCTTTCCAATCAATTTTTCCCCCAATTCTCATCCCTGATATTCATTGATGTGATTTCTGTCCCTATATTTTGTTTTGTCCAGAAATTGTTTTTGAAGAAATTCTACAGTATGCTCCTCTCACTTGGCATAATTTTGAGATTCAGGCATGTTGCTGAGGCAGTTAGTTGGGTTTTTCTTAAATAATTGCTGAATATTTCATTGTTGCAATATATTAGGTTGGTGCAAACGTAATTGTCGTTTTTGCCATTAAAACTAATGATAGAACCACAGTTATGTCTGCACCAAACCTAATGCTTCAGGTGTTTATCCATTTATCAGTTGATGTACATTTCAGCTGTTTTCAATTTTTGACTATTATGAATAAAGCTGCTATGGGATTAGTATATAAATCTTCAAGTGAAGAGGTATATGTCTTTGTGTGATTTTATGTTTTCATATTATAGGTGCTTACTTCATTTTCTCCATGAAAGTAACTTGCTTTCAGCATTTATATCTGTGGAGCTATAGGAAAATCTTGTTATTACCCTTTATGTTGCTATCATTCTATGTTTGAAAATTTATACATAATTTTGATGATAGTATATATTGTTTGCAGCATTTTGGAATGAAATATATGTTTTTCTTCTGTGTGAATTTGGGGACTTTATAGCACATGTATTTTCCTCCTTTCCTAGTTAGCATTCTTTCCATTTCTGTCTGAAGAAATCAAATATTAGTCATACAGATGCCATTACAATGAAAGTGCAAACAGCTGTGGTTATATTTACTTGCTTTTTCTTTCTCTTAGTTGAAGAATCTTTTTCTTAACCCAGAGTTCAGCTATATCTTTACAGTTTCTAGACAGAAGCATTAGAAATTGTAACCAGCCACATATATTAATACACATATTTTTGAGTTTAAATAACAATTGACAGTTGTTTTAAAAATCTCAATTTATATTGGAGGTCCACGTGCACGTGATAAAAGCAATCAATATATATATAATTGCTATATTTGTCTCATATAAACATTTTCTAAATTATTCGTATCCCCCACCACCTCCATTTCTTTCAAAGAAGTAGAAAAAATAGTTTAATACGTACAACGATTCTATAATGAAATTGAAAATCAAAATATGGGCGGGGCATGGTTTCTCATGCCTGTAATCCCAGCACAAGGCCATGGTGGGTGGATCCCCTGAGGTCAGGAGTTCAAGGCCAGCCTGGCCAGCATGGTGAAACTCTGTGTCTACTAAAAATACAAAAATTAGCTGGGTGTGGTGGTATGCACCTGTAGTCAGGAGGCTGAGGCAGGAGAATCCCTTGAACATGGGAGGCAGAGATTGCAGTGAGCTGAGATCGCACCACTGCACTCCAGCCTGGGCAACAGAGTGAGACTCAGTCTGTGTGTGTGTGTGTGTGTGTGTGTGTATATATATATATATATATATATATATATATATATATATATATATATATACACACACATATATATGGTGATTAGTCCTAAAACAATACAAATTACAAATGTTTATAGTGAAAAAGTACTAATATCTAGAAAATGGAAATACATCTCCAGCATATATCTTCACATAGAAATATATCTTCACATAGATGTATATCTATATCAATATAATTAAATTTTATACGATATAAAAATATTAATAAATTAGCAAACACCTGCTATTGTTCAGATTCTATGAATATATGACCTAGAATAGTGTATTGAAGCTAGCCATTGTCAACCAGGGTTCCAAAAGAAAATTGAGCCCTATAGAAAATGATATGATTGACTGTTTTCTTAGTTCCCCCAAGAATGGTACGTAACTAAAATCATTCTAAATAAATAGAAGATAAGTTAGTTTATTACATATAATACATGCCTTAGGACCTTAGAGATTAGGTTTTTTTCACCGAGCATTATATTATAAACATCATTCCATGTTAAAAATTATTTAATCCCCAATTTTTAATGGCTGTATGTATTCCAGAAAGATTATTTAATCTCTAATCTGATACTAGAAATTTGAGGGCATTTTCAAAAATATTTCTTATTGTAAATTGCTTTGCAATGAACATTAATAGAGAACCGTGTGTGTGTGTATGTATGTATATATATGTGTGTGTGTTGTGTATATATTATATACATATATGTAATTATTTTTTGATACCAAATTTCTAGTGGTGGAATTTCCTTGTGAGAGAATCAGTATTAAGTTTGTTGATAAGTATTGTCAAACTGTCTTTCAAAAAGAGTGTAACAATATAAGTTAGCCTCACCTAGTCATTTGTGCACTAGTTTTGAATCTCTTTTCTCAGCCTGCTGGTAATCTTTACTATTACCCTTTGCTCAAACCAATGAACTTTAAGTTGCCAGACTACTAGTTAGTCTTCTGTAGAGGAGGTTGTGTGTAGAGCAAAGAGAACAAGTATATTTCCTAGCCTTTCTTTTATCCTACCATGCTGGAATTCAGTTCACTTTTAGTTTTATAGAGGGCATTCATTGCCATTCTCTCACGTATGTTTTGATTCTTCCTGTCTACTTTTACGTTGTATTTCCACCAGGAATAATGAATCCTATCCCTTCCATCAAATCTATTTCAAGAAAGACACTTTGCAAAGCAGAAGGGCTCCAAGAGCACAGCTCTAGTCTCTCTTCAATGTTTATAAGGCACAGTCATTATTTTTACCCACTGCTGAAAACATTTGCAGGGGTTATTAAAAAAATTTTTTACCTAAAGATACTAAATAGCAGGGGTTGCAGACATAAGCATCCACCTGTTCACTGGCTTATTCACTTAAAATATAACAAGCATGTTGCCTAAGCAAATGTCCAGTAAGTTTTCTTTCTGTTGTTTGCGTTTAGTAAAGTTCTAAAACTATACAATTTTCTCTTTCTTTCCTTCAGACTATAATAGGAACTGGGTGAATATTATCCAATTAATTCTGTTACACAAAGGGCCTTATCTTTTTTCTTATCCTTATTTTCAAAAGGACACTGCCTGCTACGTGCTTAGCAACAAGTAGTCTTTTTTTTGAACAAGATGAGAAGAAATCCAGACTATCCTATAACAGTGGAAGAGTTGTATGTAAACCTTATTAAAAAGTCCAAACAATATCAAATAGTATAGGCTTATTTCTCTCTAGCTTGCTGCAAGGTTGACATCCCAGAGAGGATCAGGGCATATGGGGAGTAATAGTCCTGCAGATCAAGCAGCCAGATGTGACTAAGAAAATGATGAAAGTGAAATCTGAAGCACTACTGTCATTGTTGTCTCATCATATTTATAAACAAAACATTCCTGGTTGAGATGGAAGTCTTTTGTGTTAAATGTAGGGTTCTCCTTAAATATTAACAACAGGCAAGGCAGGGATATGTTATAAGAGTTAAATGTAAGGTTCCTCTTAAATATTAACCACAGGCAAGGCAGGGATATGTTATAGAAATGTACATTTCATTAGCAAGGAAACAACCATGATATCGATGGAGTTCTTACCACATGAGACGCACAGGGATGATTAAGTGTATGTAATACAGTACATATAAGGTAGGTCTCCATATTTTATTCTCCTGCTAAAAACACTAAAGGAAAAAGAAAAAAAATAAAACAGGATCTTGAGCTAGATCTATGATCTTTCTAAATTAATTTAGTTAAGATAGCTTTTTCAAATGGATTCCTTTTACAAAACATGTTGTTAAGCAGAGTTCTTTAGAGCATAAAATATAGTAAGCGGTGTAACTGTAATTAGAATATGCCCATGTATGATGGGGAGACGAAAGTCAGCACCTAAGAGCTGCAGTTCTGAGATCTCTCTGCAAAGCTGGTCTGGAGGATAGCCATATAAATGCGTTCTCTTATGCTGTTCTTACACATTGCAAAAAGGCATGAAGCTAACAAGCATCGAAAATGAGTGCCGTTAGACATGGTGGATCATTCACTGGAACCGTTCTTCCCCTCAGGGAGAATGAAAGTCTGGAGAGAGAAAACTGGCTGACCTCGCTCAATCAGCACAGTCTGAATGCAGGCAGAATGGCCAGCGGTGACAGGGCTGTGCTTCGGAGATGTGTGTGCTCAGGCTGCGGTTCAGGTTATGTCAACAAGGATCACTCTGGGTGCCATTTTAGTGGCTCCATGTTGTACATAAGAGAAAGACGGAAGGAGAAAAGGGAAAACTGTGGGCCACTTTAAATGTACTTGAGAACTTTGCTTTTCACTTAGGACATGAACTCTCTCTCAGCCTGTAAGCAGCTGCAGCTCGAAGCTTGACAAACAGGCCAGGAAGATGGGAAAGTACTCTAGTAGCAGCATTGCTTCTCCAGTGGAAAACCGAGAGTCCTAAATGTTACAGTGCTTCAGCCTGAGGTTTAACTGATAGAATGCCTTGATCTTGAAACTGAACCAGGCATCAGTAAACTGTAGAAGTTTAGCCTGTTGTGCATAGAAGATACAACTTTGCATTTTATACCTTTTACTGTGTTTAACAAAAGAAACAAAACATTCCAAAAACCTCTTATTAAATACATATCCTGCTTTCTGTTTTGGAAGTAGTGTTTGTATCATGCGAATAGGCTCTAAAGCTTTTAAAATATATATTCTCTATTCTAAGAATGGATCTAACAAAATAAATCAAAAGGAATTTTATTTTTAAAGGATTTGATGGAGGAAAGGGTGAGATCTGTGATACTTATAGCTTCCAAATCTGTAGGTTCATAGGACAAGTGACTCCCTATGCTTGGAAAGTCTTCACTATTTTAATTACATTCTAGGATTCTAGTTATAAACCATACCCATGTCTTGTACAGGAAACAAAATACATAATTTCATCAATCCTTCGTTTCAATAGAATAAAATGAAGATAAACAATAATATTATTGCAAATAATAGAGACTGCTTAGCAAAATATCTGACACATAGTAAGTTCTTATTATATACATAGGTACTAAAACGGTTACTATGTAATATTTGAGAGACAGATTTATTCTTGGAGCAATCAGCTCTTAGATCTATCTACCCAGGGAATCATGGCACATAATGGGAAGTACAAGAAGCCGGTAATAGTTCTGAATTATTTTAAGCCATGGTAAATGGGAGAAAATAGAGTATTAATTCAATACCAGTTGAATTAGAATAACCTTGAAATTTTTGTCCTGATATATAGAATTGTTCTGTCTCAAAAATCTTCTTTATCTAAAAGATATTCTAAACTAATAACATAATCAATTTAGTAAATGCTTGCTTGCTAGACACCAAGCCGCAATCTACATACTTTACTTAAATCATTTCTATGTAATAGTTACAAAATAATAAGAAAAATATATCTCTACTTCTCAAATAGGGCAACAAAGACTGAGGAACATTTAGTAAATAGTCTAGGTGATAGAAATAATAAATGGTAAAGGAAGGATTTGAAAAATTTTAAACTGGAAATTTGCTTTAGAAAATCTAATTGCCTTATATCTGAATTAGTATTTGTATGATTTGACTCATTCTAAATTATGAGGTCTTACAATTTATTACTCTTTGTAAACACTGAAACTTGTATAGGTTTGCCCACAGTAGACTGACTACCTTTTATTGAGCTGATTTATCAACCCTCCGGTGTTTCTAATTTCTGTATTCTAAAAAAAATTTAAAAAGATGAACTCATAAGTCAACAAAATACCTTAAAATGGTGATTTAATAATCTGAACATTTCTCTAACAATGTAAGAAATTGATTTCTTTCTTTTCTATTTAGTTCAGATCACAAGTACCTTAAATACTCGTGCAAATTGCTTCTTCCTCCTTTATTATGTTTACTATAAATTTGCGTTTTTCCCATTATCTTGAAGTAATTTATATTAGCTTCATTTTTTAGCGCAACCAAATAAGTTCTAGAAATACATATTTTGTTATTTTAAAAACGTGAAAAAATAAAATTAACCTCAAAATGATTGAGTAAAAAGAAGTCAGTTTAATGCATTGATTCAGAATTCTTCACATTATTTGCAAGTCTGTATCTCTACAAGGTAAATTATTTATGCAGAATCAAACAACTGAAAAACTCTTTTAATGCAAACTTTTTTCTACAATGTGTAAGATTTTATAAAAAGAAGGAAAAATGACAATCTAATAGTGTCCATGTGCCACTGTATCAATAGTCAACCAAATATTTATTTTTTTAATTATTTTGATATTTAATAGAAAAAAATAGGGCCCAAATCACTACCAAAACATGATCTGAATCATTACCAAAATATTAAGCTATATTTTGACCCATTAGATCAAAGGTAAATAAGTCCCTTATCATTCTGTGCTGTGAATATGATTGAGTCCTAATTTGAATTCAGTTTAGGAAACGGTACTGAGAACCTCCTCTATATGTTTGTGTTATGGAAGTAAAATCATGAAGGAGGTATTGTGTTCTGCTCTTAAAAATAAAATGAAAACTCAAAGCAGTTAGCTTTTATCTGTTGATCTATCTATTTTTAAAATGAAATAATCACCAAATAACCCAAATGGTTGGCAACCAGAATATTTCACTTCTGGATTAGTTCTCAACCAGGAATGATTTTACCGTCAGGATACATTTGGAAATGTCTAGAGGCATTTTTAATTTCTTTAATAGGAGCAGGGGGAGGAGCAGCAGGATGCTATCAGCATCTAGTGGGTGAAGGTCAGTGACGCTAATACACATCTGCAATGCAGAGGACAGTCTCTCATGACAAAGAATTATCAGCCCCCAATGTCAAGGGTGCTGAGATTGAGAAAACTTGATCTAGATCATATGGAGGTTATGCATTAAGATGATATTTTACATCAACATTAAATTTATGTAATTTGTGCTCTTTAGCTTTTAGATCCTCCAAATATTAGTATTAGTAGAGATTGCTGACTCTTTGAAATAAAGAGACAATAAACTAATGAACTAAAGTAAAACTGGAAAGAAGGCATAGACCATGAGCCTTTCCAAGAGGAGTATAGTATTTCAAAGTTATTAACATTTAAATGGCCACATAAAGGCTAGTACCTAGTGTTCTCATAAAGATACTCCTACATCATTTAATCATAAAGTGTTTATTTAGGTACAGTATTACAACGACATCAACATTATTAGTATCCCCTTAGTCACCTTCTACATATGCATTTTCATCTCTTCCTTGATAAAATTATTGATGAAAGTATTGGTGTATGAGACAGTTCTTGTCCACTTTAAAATACAGTTATGTTGTGTTTTAAAATTTTGGCAGTCTTAGCTGAGAACTTCATTAGAGAGTTCATAAAATCAATGATGTGTGCTTACCATTCCACCACAAAGATCTACCACTGGAAAATATGGTATTTTTCTGCAGATAGATTAAAGCATACATTTTGATGGAATTTCCTTGTAATTAAAGGAAAGACTCAGGCTAAGTTAAAAGTAATGCAAAACTGTACAAGGAAGCAAAATCTCAAAATGGTAGTCTTGATAGAAAAATAATTAATGAAAAAACAAGGATGGCATGTTTTGTATTAAGAAATATTCACCCTAAACTGAATCAGTTTGAAAAAGGTAGGGAAAAACATTGGGACATAGAAATGTGCTTACAGGTCTTCCAGTTCATTTAAAAATTTTATACGTTTCATTAATTTTCTCTCCCACTTCCAACATTTGTGAAAGCAATTAATAATCATATTGTTGCCTCTATAAATTTTATTTATGTCAATCTAACGGGACCTATACAATTTAGCTAGAATACTGGAATTGGTTCAAGTCTCATGTCCTTATCTCAACATATCTACCTATATATTAGGATACATGCATTCCCAGGGTTTCTAGAAAAACTTCCAGACAAATCATTTTAATTATTTTATTTATCATCTTATAAAGAGGTAAACTTTACCCAATATAATAGTTTTTAAAATAATTATTTTATGGCACATGGTAGGGAAACATTTTACTGTCTGCATTTATTTTATTTTTTATTCATTCAAAAATTATTTATTGTGTACCAGCCACTTTTTACACTACTGAGGAGGTATGGTAATGGACAAAGCAGATAAAACATAGTCAAGATTTCTTCCCTAAGAAAACACTTACTGCCACGCAAGAGATAAGTAATAGAGGTAAATACATAAGACAAACACACACACACACAAAGAGAAAGAGAGATAGATAGAGATTGATTAGATTGATTATTGATAGTTCTAGTTAAGGTCAGCAAATCCATAAAGACCTCCCACAGGGAGTCATTTGAGCAGAGACCTAAAAGAAGTTAAGTAATGAGCCATGCAGGTAACTGGGGAATGCGTGTTTGAGGTTAAGGTAAAAATTATTGCACGTGTCCTAAGTTGGAAACTAACAGCAGGGCCAGTGTGGCTAGGGTGGATTGAAGAAATAAAAGACAGTGTTGTAGTTAAAAAGAGTCAGGCAAAATCATGTCAGTCCTAATAGAGTTTATAAGTAGAACTTATAAATTTAGTCTATTACCAAGGGTTGAAATAGGATGAAAAGAAAACACCTGATTTCACTAAACTTAAAATAACCAAACACTGCATTCATCATCAGAAAGGGCTTCATAAACTACTTACTGGATACTCTAGTGAGTTGAAAACTGTTTTTGAAAATTAGAGTAATAATACCCATTAGCAATTTGGGGCAACTCAAGATAGCTCCAACTATCTTTACTGGTAACATAACACTCTTTTCAAAATTTCTAAAATTAAATTAATTTAAATAAGTTTATTTTTCACCTGTATGCCACGTTTGCACAGTAAGTGTATGACAGAGTTCCTGCTCTAGATGAGTATGTGATCTGGTAGGGAAGATGATGCATCCAGAGAACTATGGGAGAACATAGGACCACTACAAGAGGAATGTGTTGTGTGGATGATGGAAAGGGCGTAGGGAGACCATATAATATATATAAATAATATCCAAACTGGATCATTTTTGAGAATGAAAAGGGGGAATATTAATATTCTTTCTGGGAAAACTGGTGTAAATTGGCAGTGTTGTAAGCAAACTGGTGCACGAGTTAATGATGTATCTACAAAATTTCAGAAAAGAAGGGTGAATTGTAAATTAATGTGACTTTTTAAATCTTTAAGTTCTGGGATACATGTGCAGAATGTGCAGGTTTGTTACATAGGTAATGTGCCATGGTGGTTTGCTGCACCTATAACCCATAATCTAGGTTTTAAGCCCCACATGCATTAGATATTTGTCCTAATGCTCTCCCTTCCCTTCTCCTCCACAACCCCGACAGGCCCCGGTGTATGGTGTCCCCCTCCCTATGTCCATGTGTTCTCATTGTTCAAGTCCCACTTAGGAGTGAGAACATGTGGTTTTTGGTTTTCTGTTCCTGTGTTAGAATGCTGAGAATGATGAATTCCAGCTTCATCCATGTCCCTACAAAGGACATGAACTCATTCTTTTTTATGGCTGCATAGTATTCCATATGTACCACATATGGAATATGTGGTGTATATGTACCACATTTTCTTTATCCAGTCTATCATTGATAAGTATTTGGGTTGGTTCCAAGTCTTTGCTATTGTAAACAGTGCTCCAATAAACATACATGTGCATGTGTCTTTATAGTAGAATGATTTATAAATCCAGTAATGGGATTGCTGGGTCAAATTGAGTATCTGGTTCTAGATGCTTGAGGAATCATCACACTGTCTTCCACAATGGTTGAACTAATTTACATTCCCTCCAGTAGGTTAAAAGCGTTTCTATTTCTCCACATCTTTGTCAGCATCTGTTGCTTCCTGACTTTTTAATGATCGCCATTCTAAGTGGCATGAGATGGTGTCTCATTGTGGTTTTGATTTGCCCTTGTCTGATAACCAGTGATGATAGGCTTTTTTTCATATGTTTGTTGGCCGCATAAATGTCTTCTTCTGAGAAGTGTTTGTTCATATCCCTTGCCCACTTTTTGATGGGGTTGTGTTTTTTCTTGTAAATTTGTTTAAGTTCCTTGTAGATTCTGGATATTAGACCTTTGCAAGATGGATAGATTGCAAAAATTTTCTCCCGTTCTATATGTTGCTTGTTCACTGTGATGATAGTTTCTTTTGCTGTGTAGCAGCTCTTTAGTTTAATTAGATCCCATTTGTCAGTGTTCGCTTTCGTTGCCATTGCTTTTGATGTTTCAGTCATGAAGTCTTTGCCCATGCCTATGTCCTGAATGATATTGCCTAGGTTTTCTTCTAGGGTTTTTATGGTTTAAGGTTTTATGTTTAAGTCTTTAATCCATCTTGAGTTAATTTATGTACAAGGTGTAAGGAAGGGGTCCAGTTTCTGTTTTCTGCATATCGCTACCCAGTTTTCCCACCATCATCTATTAAACAGGGAATCCTTTCCCCATTGCTTGTTTTCGTCAGGTTTGTCAAAAATCAGCTGGTTGTAGATGTGTGGTGTTATTTCTGAGGCCTCTGTTCTGTTCCATTGGTCTATATATCTGTTTTGGTACCATTACCATACTGTTTTGGTTACTGTAGCCTTGTAGCATAGTTTGAAGTCAGGTAGCATTATGCCTCCAGCTTTGTTGTTTTTGCTTAGGATTGTCTTGGCTATAGGGGCTCTTCTTTGGTTCCATATAAAATTTAAAGTAGTTTTTTTTTTTCTAGCTCTTTGAAGAAAGTCAATGATAGCTTGATGGGAAAAGTATTCAGTCTATGAATTACTTCAGGCAGTATGGTCATTTTCATAATATTCATCTCTGGGACACAGCTAAAGCAGTGTTAAGAGGGAAATTTATAGCACTAAATGCCCATATGAGAAAGCAGGAAAGATCTAAAATCAACACCCTAACATCACAATTAAAAGAACTAGAGAAGCAAGAGCAAACAAATTCAAAAGCTAGCAGGAGACAAGAAATAACTAAGATCAGAGCAGAACTGAAGGAGATAGTTAAGAACGTATCTCAAAATAATAAGAGCTATTTATGACAAACCTATAGCCAATATCATACCGAATGGGCAAAAGCTGGAAGCATTCTCCTTGAAAACCAGCACAGGACAAAGATGCCCTCTTTCACCACTTCTATTCAATGTAGTATTGGAAGTTCTGGCCAGGGCAATCAGGCAAGAGAAAGAAATAAAGAGTATTCAAATAGGAAGAGAGAAAGTCAAATTGTCTCTATTTGCAGATGACATGATTGTATATTTAGAAAACCTCATTGTCTCAGCCCAAAAACTCCTTAAGCTGATAAACAACTTCAGCTAAGTCTCAGGATACAAAATCAATGTGCAAAAATCGCAAGCATTCTTATACACCAATAATAGACAAGCAGAGAGCCAAATCATGAGTGAACTCCCATTCACAATTGCTACAAAGAGAATACATACCTAGGAATACAACTTACAAGGGACATGAAGGGACCTCTTCAAGAACTACAAACTACTGCTCAAGGGAATAAGAGAGGACACAAATAAATGGAAATAATGTGACTCTTAAAACCTTCTTTGAGGCAGTAGTACTTGTACTTGGATTGTGTCCAAGTGTGCAACTGGGCAGAGGAAGGTGGGAGTGCATTCTAGTCTAGGGAAATAACATGATGAAAGACACATGGATTTGAGAATCGCCCAATGTAAAATGAAGCATTGATGATAGTGAAGAGTGGGTGATAGTATCGGATGGTTAAGAAAGAGATGGGTACAGGTATGACAGCAAACCAGACTATCATAGATTTTAAATTCCATGACAGAGTTCCATATCAGAGAGCCATTTAAGGTCTGTTAGTAGGCCTGTGACCTGTATAAAGAGTAAAACTACTCCTAAACTGCAATTTGATATGAGATTGGAATACTGCAGAGCAACATATACTATAAAATTTACAGATATTTTAGTTCTGCATAATGGATAATTTTTGCATGGTAAATTGGAACAAGAATAGAATATGGGTGTATGACTGTCCTGCAAAGTCAAATGCCTCTTTTATGTATATATGTAGTTTTAGGTAAGAGGCTATGTTTTATGAAGTTTTTTTAGAATGACTGCTAGGATGATTCTGCATAGAAGGTAAACATAGCAAAAAATAAAACCTCTGTGCGTGTGTGTGTGTGTGTGTGTGTGTGTGTATAGGCTAGAATTTTCAATAATAATGACATTTTGAGCACTTACTATATACCTGAAATAATGATGTTAACACTTTTTTTTCTGAAATTTCCCACAAAATCCTACCCGCTCAGTGTTATTATCATTTCATAGATGAAGAAACAGAACTGAAGAGGCCCTATAAACAAGCTCAAGACTGCAAAGCTGCTAGGTGATGGTGCAAATATTCAAGCACGTTTTTGCATTGGTATAAAGGCATCTTTTTCTATGGTGCCACATTACCTTACACGCTCATCGAGTTGAGCCCCCTGTGTCTCAGTTCTTCCCCAGAGGTCTCAGCTGGAATACGAATCTAGGCACTTAATACACATTTCATGTCACTCTACTATAATATAAATTGTGTTACTAACACCAGTGTTTAAGCTTTTTATTTTTTCACTACAAAGAAGGCATAAGTACAAGCATGAAAAAAAAAATCTATTTTCTTACCCTGTTCGTTGTTTGACATAAAGTATCTAGATTTTTCTTGATTTCCAGTTTAACAGTTTGTGTGCAGTCACAATTTCTTTGGGTGATCCCCACCAATCAGTATCTCTCGATCTCATCTTTAACGGTCATCTCCTAAATCAGTGTTTTGTGAATAAATTTATTCACCTAACAACTGGTTTGTATTCTTGAAATTTTCAGTAATCCCTACAGATATACAGTTCTCCTATTTCCACAACTATAATATTGTGTAACTCTCCTGGGTTCCAAGAAAATTATAGTATTTTTATTTAAGCTATAATAGTTTCTAGTCTTGAGATTTGGGAAAATATCACCGAGTCAATCACCAGAATTATTAATTAACCTACAAACTAGGAACAGAGGCTTAGTGGGAAAAATATATTACAGAGCCCACACTTGTGGAGAATACACAAAACACATCTGAGTGATCGATACTCAACAAAGAAGTCTGAACACGTTTAGATTTTAAATAGTCAATCTCTGCTGTATCTTGGAATTAGAAAAACTGATAAAGACTGACAGTATGGGAACTGACCAAGGGAAAGCCAGTTTAGAACACCAAATCCTAGAAAACTACTGGGCAAAAAAGTAAGAGAAAGGGGAAAAATAACTTAGGGAGAATCAACAATTTATTATTCCATGAAAACCTTTCATCCATGTATCCATAGTATGTATATTACATATATCTCTGATAGAACATGAATGTTAGGTTCAAAACAGTGGCCACTCAATTACTTTAAATATGACAATTTTTTCCAAGATATACTTTCTTTTTTATGTGTTCTTTAATTGTTTAAATCCCCTATTAGTACTAGACCTTATTATTTTACAGCTATGCAAATATCAAAATACATTTGCAAAAAAAATTGTCTAGTAAGATATGATGATGTCTACTTTGCAAATATATTTTGATGATAATTTGATGAAATTAACTACATCAATTTCAAGATTATGAAATTAATGTAGATATAAACGTAATTATAAAAATTAATATATAAGCATGATTCTACATGATTATGAAAATGAGTATGTTTTACATTATAAATGTGATTATGATATAAACAAAATTAGAAAAAATATAAACATGATTATAAAAATTAAAAACTATGTGATTTTACAGAGAAACCCCTTGTAGAATAAGAAAGAAAATGCATTCTTAATAGTTTTTGTACTATTTATATTACTAGCATAACTTGTACCAATTTTTCTACTTTTGAAAAAGAACTCAACTAAAAAAAACCCCAGCCAAAACTTTCATGTTATGTGCATATGAATTAATAGTAATTTAAGATTTATTACAGTGATTACATATCAACAGAGATAAATATGTGTTTTATGATTAGGTTTTTTTTTTTTTTAAACAGGTGAGCAATAGGGACAAATTCTTGATGTAGAAAATAAACCATTTCAGTGCCTGTTGATAAATAGACAGTATCCACTATTTCTTCATGGTGCATGGCAACGTGACAAATAAATTACCTTCATTAAAGATTTGCATGAAGGATTAATGAGCATTAGTTAAGCCATAAAAGCACAAAAAACATTTTTGAAAAATTACATTGAATATAAGAATAAGTTGAGGGGCAGACAATCTCGTTATAATAATTTATCTTGCCTGAAGATTCTCTGCTGCACCTATGTGATAAATGAAGCCCAAAAGCAACTCAAGTTCCACATTTAACATAGAAAATTTAGGCAGTTCACAACTCTAGAGGGTTTTGTCCTCTGTGACTCACCTACCTATAAGGGGGACAATTTATAAAACACTTATTTGTTTCTGTTAGTATTCAGACTGCAATAAATCTTCAAATTTTCACCATAAAATCTGCATAACATGAAATTAAAAGAAGTTAAGCATTTTTAAAAATTCATAGTGAAAAAATGTTGAGTGTTTTAAATACCTGCCTTATGAATTTTCTTTTGCTTTTAATTCATAGAGCTAAGTTAAAATTTAATTATTCGTGTTATGTATAAATGACAATTATCCTTTGGATAAAAGGTAATATTTTACTAAGTAAAACACAGGAATATAAGAAAACTTTATTTTGCTAACCGAGGTCTTAATTTTCCTTCATTTGGAATACTGTCCAAGATTAAACCTTTCTACGCATCAAACACTGTCATCTTGTGGACTGCCATTGATTTCAGAAAATACAGGCTAATTTAAAAATTATTATCTGTGCGACTTTTCATGGTAAAATATTTGGACAACTCTGTAAATCTTAATGTAAGTGGAGATGAGGAATAGTATCCTTGTTTGTAACTGTGCAATAATGAAGCTTTTACATTTATGAACATCTGTATTTCAGGTCCCCGTGCTGGTATTTTATAGTAGGTCTCTACCCAGCAGGCCACATCCTTACTGTTTGATATGGTTAAGACTTGCATGGCATTGTGACCATGGTTTAATTACAGTGTGACTTAATGGTTAATAGAAATAATCACCAGCCTGCTTTTGTTCTGGTCTGGTGAGTGAAATCTAGACACCGCTCTAATTAGTCACTATTTCAAACATCTAACTTTTATTTGCAAAATTACATCCCATGCATATAAACCTCAATCTAGTAAACATTTGAAACCACTATTCACCAGGTTTCCTTTTCTCTTTTCAAATAAAGATCGATGCTTTGTAATAATTCTTAAGTTATTGGCAACTCTATGTCTTAGTTTTCCCATTTGTAAAATAAGGTTACCTATTCCTATGAGAATTAAATGAATTAATATACATAGAGCACACTGCCTGGCACATTCTAAGTGTGGTACACATTTACTAGATTGTATTGGTGCTCCATCCAGACCTTCACCCGATGCGTGCGCACATCCAGCAGCTGCTATGAAGATTGGCTGCTTCCTCTTCTCCAGAAAATTTGCCACACCTGGAAAATCGTGCTTCCTGCCCTCATTGCATTCCACCTGCCCCAGCCAGCAGCTAATAACTTATGGATACAGGGGAGAGGGTGCAAATAGCCTTTGCTGATACTCTTTGCCTTCTTTTGCCTCACTTACCAGTGCTGCAGTGAAAGTTGTGTTTGAGAACCCCAAGTGGGATCAATCTTAAGCTAATCTCCAACAGGGACCACATCCCTGGTTAGCTTTATTTTTTTCTCCCTCATCTTACCTCGCTTCTCTTAGTTTTTCCTCCTGGAAAAATGTTGTCAAATCATATCTGAGAGTCCTCTTCACTGACTCTATTTCTATAAACCCAATGAAAGACAATAAGTATCTACTCTTGTTGTTGTCGTTATGCCCACTGGTGTCTTGATTTAATGAAGGGTAAATGCTGAGATTACCTTTGTCATGTCCAAAGTTGAACGGAGTCCATGGAACGACTCCACAGCCTTTCAGTAGTTCTCCATATATATCTTTTTTTAAGCTAACATTTTCACAAATTTGATAAGCACATTAAGGTCATAGTCCCTGGCAAGATTCTGGGGCACAAATAGACTGTTGTTGGTTAAGGCAGGGATTTGGGGGCTTTATCAGTGAATTATGGGAAACCTGGAGTGAATGCTTTTTAATGCAAAGTTTGGAACCTAGGTTGAGATCGTTCCGCTGACTCTTGCACACTGTTGAGTAAACACTGGCCCTAGACCTGCTAAGAGCTTACAATTCAATACAACGTAAATTAAAAACCCCTTAGCAAAGCAAGAAATTTAGGCCGCCTTTTGAAAAGGGTTAGCAATGACCTTTATATCTAGACACAGGGCTCCTGGGATAAAAATGTCCTCCACACTGTGAAGTATTCCACAGAGAAAAGAAAAATAGTTGCTGTCACCCAGTTGGTATAATCACTTGAACTCTAGAACTTGGAATTCACTAGCTCAGACCTGCTTAAGTTGTGGATCATGAGATGACGCCAGTTTAGTACTGTTCTTATTATACATATTATTTTATTTATCTTATGTTTTTCTAAAGGTGTTTTGAATTAAATGTGCATAAAATATTTTCCTGTCTTGGTGACATAATTATGAAGAACTCTGCTTCTTTTGACTTTAGGTAACAAACATAATGAAAATACTTGTCTCCAAAGCATAAAAAAGAGAAAATTATTACTTTGTTTTGTTCAACCAAGATAACTAAAATTTAATGTAATAATACAGCCTACTTTGTTTTAAAGTAATTTCATTTTTCAAACATATGACAAGTATTCTCTTTTGCATTCTTCACAACATCTTTAAAAATATCTTGATTCTGAGGCTGGGCACAGTGGCTCACGCCTGTAATCCCAGCATTTTGGAAGGCCGAGGCGGGTGGATCACGAGGTCAGGAGATCGAGACCATCCTGGCTAACACAGTGAAACCCCATCTCTACTAAAAATACAAAAAAAAATTAGCCAGGTGTGGTGGTGGGCGCCTGTAGTCCCAGCTACTCAGGAGGCTGAGGCAGGAGAATGGCGTGAACCTGGTAGGCGGAGCTTGCAATGAGCCAAGATTGTGCTACTGCACTCCAGCCTGGGTGACAGAGCGAGACTCCGTCTCAAGTAAAAAAAATAAAGTAAAAAATCTTGATTCTTTCTCTTGGTACTAACCAAGAGTCAGACAGCTTTATTCTATTGTAACTTTCAGGATCTTCGTCTCTGGTTGTGTTTTTATAGATGAAACTTTTGACACTTGGAAATTAAATCCAATTGTACGAGGTACAAGATGAATTTATATTCTACAAAATTGTGCTTTATGCTAGATAGTTTATCCTGAGCCAATAGCTCCCCTATTGAGCAGTTTCTTCATGTTGAACACTCATTTAAGTGGCTTGTGTAATTCTCAGCATTACTACCACGTAGACATTATTGTCCCATTTTATGGATAGTGAAACTAAAGTTTAGGAAAATTAAATTACAATAATGAAAGAAGATTAATATAATGATAAAATATAGGCTTAGAGTGAGAAGAGAAGTTTTAATTTTCCCTCTGACTCTAATCAGCTGTAATTTTCCACTGGTTCTTTCACCTATTTGAGCCTCAGACCTTTGATGTTGAAGATGATTAAAATAATAATAACTATATTTCTGTAGAACTAATTTTACATGAAATATTGCATTTAACCTTCCCTTTCTTCCATCAGTTTTAGTTTACAGATGAGAAGATTAATGCTTGAGCAAAATTAAATAGCTTTCCTAAAGGTCATGTAGTTAGTAGGTCATGCAGCCATCTTTGAATGCCTGGTCTCTGTGATTTTGAAGTCCATGGTCTTACTCAAAATGCTAATTTCTAATGTGTCTGTGTGTAATAGGGAAAGTGGGGCGCACAGACCAAGGGAAGAACTAGGTAAAAAAAAAAAAACATGAAAAGTATGTGACTCACGGTAAACTCTTATGCTAATTTTTTCCCAGCTCTATCTGATATTTTCATAATATCCTCAACTGTGCTTTGCATATTTCACTACTACTTGTTGATATCCCAGTTGCCTTGATCTCAGTTCCCACCCCAAATCTAGGAGCCAAAATGATTTTTCTATATGATCCATTAAATAACTTGAGCTGCCAATCAGCTTCTTCAACAGAATATTAATAAGCATGCTCAAGCAGAGGCAAATAATTGGTCATCCATGAGGCTATTAACCTCTGATAGGGATTGGACTACCTAAAATTTAATATCCCTTATCTCTAATATTTCATCTAACTTACCTAGTAGAATAAATCATGAAGTTATTTGATAGTACCTTTGTAAAAATGATCTTTTTCTCTTTTGCTCATTCACAGTACATTCCAGATTGTTAAAACTGTCTATATTACTATAATAAATAGAGACTCAGTGTCTCTATTTAGCCCAACAACAAGCATCCTCTCTGACTCATATTCTCAAAGCCAGAACAAGCCAATTTTGATCTTAGAAAATTTGTAATGAAGTTTAATATGTGAAAATAAATCCACTCTTGTTCTTAAAATTTAGGGAGGTTTGTATAAATAGATTATAGATACATTTCTATCTCAAATATGCATTTATTCACCAAATATTTATGGAGCAACTACACACCAAGTATCTTGTTGAGTTTTAAAGGTATGATGGTGAAGAAGGTAGATTCAATCTCTGCTCTTCGGAGAGTAATTGACATGGCTAATAGTGACTTTTTCTGTTTCAATCAAGGTACACATCAGCATTGTAAAATATATTTCCCACCAATTTCAGGTTGTCCCTCATGCTCAGTAGTAATGAATAATTAAGCGGACAATTCTCTACAATTTCTATCATAATGTCACTAATTCAGAGATCCAAAGTGGTAGGATTGGGTACAAACTTTCAAAAAAGAAAATAATTGTAGTGAAAATTTTTAAAACCCTATTTTTCTCCAGGAACTTACTAAGTTATCCTATTTAAGTGTCTTCACTTCAATTAAGTCATCATGAAAGAGAGGAGATGAGTCATAATGGATGATGGAATTATGAAAATAAATGTGATTAAAAGACAATTTGTAAATATTAAAATGCTCCTGACATATACTCTCCTAAGCAGCATCAGTAAAAATTAATACAAGCATATAGAAAATAAATAAATGCAAAACTTGAACTATTTAAAAAACAAACTAAAAGTTATTTATTTTTTATTTTTTTGATTTGGGGTCTAACTCTATCATCCAGGCTGGAGCGCAGTGGCACAGTCACAGCTTATGGCAACTTTGAACTCCTGGCCTCAAGCTACCCTCTCACCTCAGCCTCCCAAAGTGCGGGGATTACAGGCTTGGGCTGCTGTGCCTGGACAAAAGTTATATTTTCATAATAAAGAACAAATTATAAATATGATTTTTGGCAAATGAAACATTAAATCTCATATTACAGAAATAACAAAAAAATAGGGATTTTGGTAAATAAGGCCTGTTAACTGAGAATCTTACCATAAAGTTGAGCATTTTATAAAAATAGAGAAGCTTCTGATTTTTAAGTTTTTCTTTCTGTACTTACAGGGATAAAGAAAATAGGCTCCCTGGGACAGTTTCGTTATTAATTGAGTCATTCAACAACTCAGATGCTATATCCATTGTGTTCTCTCCAAATTCTTTGACCCAAAGCCTCTGATGTGTACACACACTATTAGAAAGAAGAATGGTTATTTCCCAACATGTAGTTATATTAAAGAATGTTGAATCACTGTGATTACTCATTGAACTTGTTTTCAAAGACTTCAGAGAGTCCAGTATGCAGTTTCATTCCCCATTCTCACACTTTTTTTTTGTTAATGGCACTGCAGTTAAGAGAAATGAGCATCATTGTCCACATGTGTACTCCTGTTTTTGTATACTCTGTAGATGTGGAAATGCGTCACTTAAATAATCATCTTTTTAGGGGAGCAAAGAGAAGATCTTCTGTTTATTGACACTGAATCAGTTGCAGCAATTGCATAGAAAGTCTGCAATATTTGAATCCCTAAAATCTGGACATTCAATTAGGGCAGGAGACAGCTAACCTGGAAATGTTCTCACTACCAAAATTTAGAAATGATGACTGAAATAAAGCAGCGAAAATTCCAATATGTAGCTGATCTCACAAGAAAGAAAAGGAAATCCCGAAGTATCAGAAACAAATAAGAACTAAAATCCAAAGTATACTCTCTGGTGTTAACCCTGAGGAGATCTTGGAAGCAAGGTACATTTTTTATATGTTACAGAAGTAGACCCTAAAGTCTAAAACCTAGAGGATGAATGATCATGCCAAGGGCAAAGGACAAGTCCTTGGGCCTGCCTAAGAATGGAAGTTGAATAGCAGTGTCTGCCCAAGTCAGACTCCAGATGGAATGACCTGCTGGTTCAGAGTAGAAGACAAAAATTCCCCAATGAGAAACCAAAAGCCTATGCAGCACATGTATTTGTGGCCCAAATGCGTATTACCACATAGTATCAAAAATATGCGATTGAAATTTAACATAAACATTGATCCTTTTGTTGCAATTGCTTTTGGTGTTTTAGTCATGACTTCTTTTCCCGTGCCTATGTCCTGGATGATATTGCCTAGATTTTCTTCTAGGGTTTTTATGGCTTTAGGTCTTATGTTTAAGTCTTTAATCCATCTTGAGTTAATTTTTCATAAGGTGTAAGCAAGGGGTCCAGGTTCAGCTTTCTGCATTTGGCTAGCCGGTTTTCCCAACACCATTTTGTATACCTGTGTAACAAACCTGCATGTTCTGCACATTTATCCCAGAACTTAAAGGATAATAATAAAAAAAGAAAGTAAACTACATAGAAAAATGGGGAAAAAAATTGATCCTAAGTAGGGTTCATGCAAAAGCATTCTCGAGGAAGACTTTCATAACGTAGATGCACAGTATATCTCAAAGTGGTCATTGTCTGCTGAAATAGGGACTACTCACTGAAGAATCAGACCAAGAACTTCTAAAACATTTTAGTTGCTTTAGATAACCATACTGTTAAAAAAAAACCTTAAAAAGTGGGAAAATCATAGTTGACCAACTAATCTCAATATCTTCTGAAATGAATGCTACTACTACTAAATGTTTACCACCGAATAAGATCGGCATGCATTCAATTATTTTTAAGGGCCAGGTGCAGTTTGTATGGAAGAAAGTGGTGTATGAAGCTAAAGGCTGTGGCACCACAGCTAACCATACTATTTCCCTGAAATATTTTATAGTTCTCAGGTTACAATGTAATACTAAAAATAATTATAGATTTATAGTTTTTTTATGATTACTTTGAAGGCAATATTAAATAAATGTGAATAGATAATTGAAAACCTTATAGGAGGAAGTAAACAGGAATATTAAAAGATGTTTAGCTCAGTCCAATATTTTCATTTTTGGCACTGGCAGAAAATCCACTGCAAACTCAGGTTGTCAGCTCTTCTATTGCGTACTATTTCTACTTTTTATACTTCTTGGAATTATGAAATGCTTCACTACATGAAACTGAAAACTTACTTGAAGAACTAAATAAGCATTTTTGAGTCCCCAAATACTTACCCATGTGTAATATCTGAGAAAATACCAATTTTGTGTAAATGTTTTTCTCCTATTCTAAAAATACAAAACATTAACTCAACAAATATCATCTGTGTAACAGAAACAGTATTTTTAAATTTAATGAATGATGTCCTGTAATTGTTAGTTGCTTTCTTTTCTCTGTAACTTTAATATAAACCAAAAGCTAAGAAAACCCTTATTTTATATTAGATTTTAGTAAAATAATAAAAAAATTTGATTTTAGTAAATTATCTAAAATAAATATATATTAAAAAATATATGAATTATGTGTGAATGACAAGTAACACTTCCATTATAGCAATTAAAGGGATTCACATTGTTAAATGTGAGAAAGCCTTGAATTTAGAGTCTACTTGAGCTGTATAAGAACAAGTTGAAGTATTTCAATTATACTTTATGGAGTTCCTTCATTCCTTTGAGTAAAGTCATGTGGATATTTTAAATAAATTATTAATAAAATATTAAATGTACTGAAGGCTGTCAACTGGGTGATGGTAACAGTAAAAAACACTTTTCTTTATAAAACAATTGTTAAAATATTTGAAAGTTTTGGATTTTGTATCTGTATATTGTAATTATGCATTAATGCAATACAACATTTCAAAATTCTCAGGCTTCTGCTAAATATGTAATTTCCCCTTTTTTTTTGAGACAGAGTCTTGCTCTGTTGCCCAGGCTGGAGTGCAGCGGCATGACCTCGGCTCACTGCAAGCTCCGCCTCTCAGTTCAAGCCATTCTCCTGCCTCAGCCTCCCAAGTAGCTAGGACTACTGGTGCCCACCACCAGGCCCGGCTAATTTTTTTTTTTTTAATTTTTAGTAGAGACGGGGTTTCACCATGTTAGCCAGGATAGTCTCGATCTCCTAACCTCATGATCCGCCCGCCTCGGCCTCCTAAAGTGCCAGGAGTACGGGCGTTAGCCCCCGTGTGCAGCCTATATCATTTATTTTAATAATAAATATTAGCGAAATCTTGCTTAGAATCAATGTTCAACTCGTCATTGAAATTTTTCTGTGGAAAACAGACCTGAAAATATTTAAGTATCCATTATTCCTTCAGACTTGTTTTATATCCTCTTTACTGTTTTTCTTATATTTAAATGGTGCAGGTAGAAGGAGCTCCTAACATAATAATGTTTAGTTAGGCTGGGATGATAACAGAAATGTTACTTTTCATATTTTATGAATGCATATTATTCATTAAGTTCTTAGGTACGTTGTCTTGGTGGAAGCTTATGAAGTACGTAATATTCTAATTATATGAATTTTAAAAATGAACCTCAAAAAGTTAGTTAAATACTGGCTCAGTTTAAACCATCATACTGTCTCTGAAAGTCCCAATGAACTTAAACTTAATTTAGAAGTTAAACTAAGTTACAAAATGGGATGTGTGTAGAGAACATTTGGACAGAAGACATGTAGTTTGCCTTTCTTTGATAAGTTTAATTGCTTAAGTGTCCCTGTCTCACACCTTCTTTACAATAAGGTCTATATCTGTATCTTCTTATTCTACATTGTTTCATAGGTTTGGGTAAATTTTCTTCATTAAATTGATCTTTGAGAATGGAAAATTGTCTCTTACCTTTCTATTTTCAGTGTTATCATAGTTCTGAGTACCTAAAACATGTTCAGTACACATTGGAATTGAAAGAATAAATAAACGAGTCAAGGTCAGACATCGTAAGAAATATTTCAGATCTCACCGTAGTCATTAACAATAATCCTTTGAATATAAAATACTAAATTATATAGATACATGGATCAAATATGTATGACCTTGCAATATATCTAATGCTTTCTAAAGGCTTTGTTGTTTGAGCTTTGTCTGTTAATGAAAAAATCAAAGTCTTTCGTTGACCAAATTTTGTGTATTTTCAGAGATCATCTATAGCTGGGTATTTAATGAGTTCCCTTCCTTTGTGGCGGAAGACAGCCGGCGGTTCATCTCCCAGGAGACAGGCAACCTTTATATTTCTAAAGTCCAAACATCAGATGTTGGCAGCTATATTTGTCTGGTGAAAAACACAGTGACGAATGCTAGAGTCCTTAGTCCTCCAACGCCACTCACTCTGCGTAATGATGGTAAGTTGCTTGGCCCGTTAAAATGGTCAGCCAACTCTAATTTGGAAAATAAAGATGTATTAGTGTGTGTTTTTTTTTTAAGACCTGGAACTTACAAATAAAATAAAAAGGCATTTGCCATATTTAGACACTACATTTTTAGGCCAGGATTTTGCATGCCTTAGAATAAAAGTTTAGACATAAGAAATTGATGATCCATGGTTGAGAAATATTCACCATAATGCTACTCTAATGCCAGAAAGGGAGAAAGAATCTGATAAAAAGAACCATAATAAATACTCCACAGTTCTTTCCTTTGCTCTTCAGTGCCTCTATATAACATATGTGTATGAATTGCAAGCATTTTATGGGTTCACTTTTCATTACATTTTTATTTTAGCTGCCTTCAAATTGAATGCTCAGGTTTTAATACTTCATGGTATAGTTATAATTGTGATTATTACTTTTCCAATAATAGGAGCAGTTGGAACTGTAACTTTTAGGTGCAAATCAGGCAGAAGTGATGATTCTATAATTATAGTATTGCCATCTATCCAAAGTATCTTCAAATTTAAACACCTCATTTGTATTTATAGACATGTACAGTTAAGCATTGCATTAAAGAATTCAAGTGCTATATTACCATTGATATATGATGTGTAGTTTGCTCTGTCATGCAGCAAAAAATCTATGAAGGCGTTATTAAGAAGCATGAGAATCCTGGTTGATTGTGAAACTTAAAAAATAATCTATTTAAGTGCTGTTTTTTCATATGCTTGGTTTTAGAATATATGCTGCTGGAATGTATGACCAGAGCTATATCACAAGATTTTTGCTTACTACTTAGTTTATATAGACTTTGTTGTTTGCGTGTGTGTGTGTGTGTGTATATATGTTTATATGTATATATATAAACATTTAAATATGTGTATTTATGTAAACAAGTCTATGAAACTTCATAAACTGTGAAGTATGTATTATATATACATATATAGATAGAGATACACAGTATTATATAAAATATATATAATAGTAACAACACCATCAGGTAAAGGGTAAAAATGTAATATTCATTTTAAAGAGAAGAAAGCCAGTATTAAAGAAATGATGAAAATTGCTAAAGGCCTCACAGTTAGGTAACGGCATGGAGAAACCAGTAGAAAAAAGAATGCTGACTTGGAAACCAATTCAGGGGCTACAAAAACTAATCCGCCAAGAGGCGATAAATGACTGAACAAAAGCAGTGATGGTAGCACTGGAGGACAGGAAACATTAACTGGGATATTAAGAAGGTAGGATTACCAGCATTTGATAATTAATGAATTACAGGCTTTGGAGTAGGTGGAGGCTAGCATACACAAATATTTCAAGGCTTTAGCAGAGTTCATTGAATGGGCGATGATTCTCCTCATCAGAAAAGAACACAGCTGAAGAAGTAGAGAAGTAGTTAAAAATGAGGAATTCAGTTTTGAATATGAGATACAGGGTACATGGGAAATCCATGTGAAAATTGGGAATAGGTAATCAGATACATATTCCTAATACCCATAAGAGAGAGCTGGGCTACTGAAAGAGATTTAAAAGTCATCATTGTGTATTACATCACCATAGAATAATGTGTATATATTATGCCAACTTCAAGATTGTGTAAGAGTGTCTATAGATGGAAAATAAAGAAATGCAGTTTTACAGTTTATCTAATTAAAAGCTTTGAATTAATTCTCTATAAGCTATTTCTCCAAAACTTCTGAGCCCCTTTCTCCCTGATTTCTTAAGACGTTATTGCATTCTTATCTGAAAATTATAACTTTTTTGGCTAACAATTAATTCCATTTTCACTATCCATCTGTATAATAATACTTTATATTTGAATAGTGCCTGAGGTTGAGGAGGCTCTTCCACCTTCTTTTCACACCAGAGACCTCTTTCTACACATTGCCGATCACAAGGGAGAGTAGCACATGTGTAAGACAGTGTCCATGTGCAAGAGTGTTTTGCACTTTTGGTTCATGGCCCAGATATATCACTTATCTTTACGTTCTACCTTCCATGGGCACACATTTCATGAATAATCATTCGCTGATATTTAAATCCCTTTGCCTCTGTGTCTTCTGTTGCCCTTGTTTGGCAAAACCCCAACTCCAGTGAACTCAATTATACTCTTACCCTGTGACTGCCTTGAGATTCTGAAAGCTACCTGAAATGTTTACACCCACCAGGGGTTCATGATCATCAATTTCAAGTGGGCTCTCAACATTGCCATTCAATCCCAAGTTTCTGTGGACAGCTTAATTTGCTACTCTCCCCTAAATTTTTGGAAACTTCTGTGCTTTCCTTAGACTGGATTGCCTCACGACCACCACTTCACAAAAACTGTGTACCTTATCAAATCATCTTCCTACTAATAAAATTTAAATCTTAACTGCATCTCCATCTGCATTGTTATCTCCCATCCTATTTCAATAGAGATAGTATACTGTCCATCCTCCTGTTACAACCAATTCCTCCATCCTGTACTATTGAGAATCATTCCCTCCAGCCTTTCAGAAAATTACACTATAAGTCATTGCTTCTTATATAACAGAATTCTAGGTCACTAAACTAATACTGTTTTGGTCATTATGTTAATTGAACTGACTGTAGCAGTTGACGTTGTTGACACTTTTTTCTTTTACAAACGTCTATATTTTCAAAAAGTCATTATTTGAGAAGTACTATATAAAAGGCTCAATAAAGCAAGTATAAATCAATAAAACAAAACTGTTATTTTAAGGTTGACATTTAACAAAAACAAAAAAACCAGGTAGGAAGCATCTGCTAAATTTCTGTTACATCGTTCAGTAACAGTCTTATTTTTTACCAGAGAAGCTACAAAATTTACATTTGTTTTTTTCTGTAACTTACCTAAGGCTATTGCTTTCTCGGCTTTTATTTGTCCATTTTTTTTTTAAATCCACATTGAATGAATGTAGTGACATAGAAAAACAAAACAAAACAAAAACCCACAAAATCCTACTCACCTCTCCCTGCCACTAAATCTCACGCTGGAGAGCCAAACTTCTAACTTCCCTTTTTTGTTGTTGTTGTTCCATAAGGTTCTCATAAAATGCTAGAAAATATCTGCACGTCTTGGTTACTCAAGCTTAAACAATAACTGTTTATTCCTTCATTTGATAAGTGTGCATAAGTTTCTTCCTTCCATTTTAATATGCATTTTTAAGTTTACTGTTGCTTATCCTTTAAACTTTAATAATATACTGAAATTTCTACTGCTCTTTTAACTCGAGTCTAATTCATAGCTTTTTATGTCATGAAATGAGGATCATTTTATTCCTCCTTTTTCCTTCATCTTTCCTAAGCTACTTTTATGTTTTTTTTCTTCTACTTGTATTTTGGCAATTCTGTGCAGCAAATACAATCTTATCTTCTATACTTCTTCTTAGACTAACTCTATAAACTGGAAAATCAATAAATATCTACAGATTATTAATATATAATTATGACTTAATATGATATTTTTCCAGGTTTTTAAGCCACTTCCTAGACATGTATACTATACTGGATGTGTTTTTCATACTAACTGAAACTTTGAATTAAATATAACCTAAAGAAAAATAAGGCTAATAACATTAATAAGAATGCAGTATAGTTTGGATGTAGTGTTTCTTAAAGTTCTGCTGTACAAAAACAATTAGTAGTTTGGATAACAGTGTTCAGAAAGGAACATGAGTCACTACAGTGAAAATCGTAATGAAGGCATTGGTGTGGTTAAGAAATCACGGGGAGAGAGTATGAAATGAGAAGAGAAGTGACTGTAAGGTCAAGCCTGAACTAATCTACATTACATTAGGAGGGTAAATAATGAAAATCCCACAAAAAATAATGAGGAGAAGGTAGAGAGATAATAAGATAATAGGAAAAACAGTAGAACAGGCCAGGCACCGTGGCTCATGCCTGTAATCCTAGCATTTTGGGAGGCCGTGGCGAGCGGATCACCTGAGATCAGGAGTTCAAGACCAACCCAACCAACATGGAGAAAACCTGTCTCTACTGAAAAACTGCAAAAATTAGCCGGGCATGGTGGTGCATGCCTGTAGTCCCCACTACCCGGGAGGCTGAGACAGGAGAATCTCTGGAACCCGGGAGGCGGATGCTGCAGTGAGCCAAGATCACGCCACTGCACTCCAGCCTGGGCCATAGAGTGAGACTCCGTCTCAGAAAAAAAAAAAAAAAAAAACAGTAGAATATAGTGTCAAGGAAGCCAAGGGGAAATAAGGGTTTCCATAAGAAGTGGGCATGTAGTTAAACATGGTGGACTGGATGCATGCATTTGCTACCTGTCGCCCTTCTCAGATCCTACAAAACTAAATCTATATTATTAATGAGAATGCTGAAGGAGAGGAAGAGCATCACCAAGTGAGACATTTCCATATATTTCTGAAAGAATGAGGAAGGATTGAGTTAAAGTATTAAAGAAGTGGAGAAAACTAAAACACAGAATAAAGTGTAAGGGGTCTAAAGAAAGGGTTGAGGACCATATGCCCAATGGAAGCTTGAGGACATTCTGAAATCAAAGTTAGCACTAAGAAGGGATGTAAGAAATGGGATTCAATAAAGGGGATTGAAGACATAACACACTGAACAACTATTTCAATAAAATGTTGAACACCTTTTCCTTCTCTATCGCTATATGCAAAAAGTCCAAAGACTCATCTCTTAATAATATGAATGAGCTTTCCGTGGAAAGATGAAGTTTTAAATGTCAACAGTGGCACTCTAGTGCAAAACTCTTATTCTAGCATTCGTATGCCAGCAGCCTGAGAGCCAGCTCCCTGTCCTCACACCAAAGCAGAGCCTGGTCATCCACACACCCCATTCAGTCATGACCCCCACACACCTCAGTAGAGAACCAATTCTTCAGACACAGCATCAGGGGAACTCACACCAACTTGCAAAATTTTCGATATATACGTAGAGAGACATATAGATAGATATAGTTATATATACATATACACACACACATATATGCAATTCTAAGTTAATAGTTACTGTTGAAAATTCTTGTGCTTATAGAGTGATTACAAAATTCATACTAAGATAATATGAAAAAACTTGAAACATAAAATTACTCTAAGGAAGACGTAGATTAGAATGGAATTATTTTTATTCAAAAACTGTTTTTATTATACCTTAAGTTTTAGAGTACACGTGCACAACATGCAGGTTAGTTACATATGTATACATGTGCCATGTTGGTGTGCTGCACCCATTAACTCGTCGTTTAACATTAGGTATATCTCCTAATGCTATCCCTCCCCCTCCCCCCACCCCACAACAAGCCCCGGTGTGAGATGTACCCCGTCCTGTGTCCATGTGTTCTCATTGTTCAATTCCCACCTATGAGTGAGAAGATGCAGTGTTTGGTTTTTTGTCCTTGCGATAGTTTGCTGAGAATGATGGTTTCCAGCTTCATTCATGTCCCTACAAAGGACATGAACTCATCCTTTTTTATGGCTGCATAGTATTCCATGGTGTATATGTGCCACATTTTCTTAATCCAGTCTATCATTGTTGGACATTTGGGTTGGTTCCAAGTCTTTGCTATTGTGAATAATGCCGCAATAAACATACGTGTGCATGTGTCTTTATAGCAGCATGATTTATAGTCATTTGGTTATATACCCAGTAATGGGATGGCTGGGTCAAATGGTATTTCTAGTTCTAGATCCCTGAGGAATCGCCACACTGACTTCCACAATGGTTGAAGTAGTTTACATTCCCACCAACAGTGTAAAAGTGTTCCTATTTCTCCACATCATCTGCAGCACCTGTTGTTTCCTGACTTTTTAATGATCGCCATTCTAACTGGTGTGAGATGATATCTCATTGTGGTTTTGATTTGCATTTCTCTGATGGCCAGTGATGATGAGCATTTTTTCATGTGTTTTTTGGCTGTATAAATGTCTTCTTTTGAGAAGTGTCTGTTCATATCCTTCGCCCACTTTTTGATGGGGTTGTTTGTTTATTTCTTGTAAATTTGTTTGAGTTCATTGTAGATTCTGGATATTAGCCCTTTGTCAGATGAGTAGATTGCAAAAATTTTCTCCCATTCTGTAGGTTGCCTGTTCAATCTGATGGTAGTTTCTTTTGCTGTGCAGGAGCTCTTTAGTTTAATTAGATCCCATTTGTCAATTTTGGCTTTTGTTGCCATTGCTTTTGGTGTTTTAGACATGAAGTCCTTGCCCATGCCTGTGTCCTGAATGGTATTGCCTAGGTTTTCTTCTAGGGTTTTTATGGTTTTAGGTCTAACATGTAAGTCTTTGCTCCATCTTGAATTATTTTTTGTATAAGGTGTAAGGAGGGGATCCAGTTTCAGCTTTCTACATATGGCTAGCCAGTTTTCCCAGCACCATTTATTAAATAGGGAATCCTTTCCCCATTTCTTTTTTTGTCAGGTTTGTCAAAGATCAGATGATTATAGATATGCAGCATTATTTCTGAGGGCTCTGTTCTGTTCTGTTGGTCTATATCTCTGTTTTGATACTAGTACCATGCTGTTTTGGTTACTGTAACCTTGTGGTATAGTTTGAGGTCAGGTAGTGTGATGCCTCCAGCTTTGTTCTTTTGGCTTAGGATTGACTTGGCGATGCGGGCTCTTTTTTGGTTCCATATGAACTTTAAAGTAGTTTTTTCCAATTCTGTGAAGAAAGTAATTAGTAGCTTGATGGGGATGGCATTGAATCTATAAATTACCTTGGGCAATATGGCCATTTTCACAATATTGATTCTTCCTACCCATGAGCATGGAATGTTCTTCCATTTGTTTGTATCCTCTTTTGTTTCATTGAGCAGTGGTTTGTAGTTCTCCTTGAAGAGGTCCTTCACATCCCTTGTAAGTTGGATTCCTAAGTATTTTATTCTCTTTGAAGCAATTGTGAATGGGAGTTCACTCATGATTTGGCTCTCTGTTTGTCTGTTATTGGTGTATAAGAATGCTTCTGATTTTTGCACACTGATTTTGTATGCCGAGACTTTGCTGAAGTTGCTTATCAGCTTAAGGAGATTTTGGGGTGAGACAATGGGGTTTTCTAGATATACAATCATGTCATCTGCAAACAGGGACAATTTGACAATTCCTCTTTTCCTAATTGAATACCCTTTATTTCCTTCTCCTGCCTGATTGCCCTGGCCAGAACTTCCAACACTATGTTGAATAGGAGTGGTGAGAGAGGGCATCCCTGTCTTGTGCCCGTTTTCAAAGGGAATGCTTCCAGTTTTTGCCCATTCAGTATGGTATTGGCTGTGGGTTTGTCATAGATAGCTTTTATTTTGAGATACGTCCCATCAATACCTAATTTATTGAGAGTTTTTAGCATGAAGATTGTTGAATTTTGTCAAAGGCCTTTTTCTGCATCTATTGTGATAATCATGTGGTTTTTGCCGTTGGTTCTGTTTATATGCTGGATTACATTTATTGATTTGCGTATATTGAACCAGCCTTGCATCCCAGGGATGAAGCCCACTTGATAGTGGTGGATAAGCTTTTTGATGTGCTGCCGGATTCAGTTTGCCAGTATTTTATTGAGGATTTTTGCATCAATGTTCATCAGGGATTTTGGTCTAAAATTCTCTTTTTTTTGTTGTGTCTCTGCCAGGCTTTGGTATCAGGATGATGCTGGCCTCATAAAATGAGTTAGGGAGGATTCCCTCTTTTTCTATTGATTGGAATAGTTTCAGAAGGCATGGTACCAGCTCCTTCTTGTACCTCTGGTAGAATTCAGCTGTGAATCCATCTGGTCCTGGACTTTTTTTTGGTTGGTAAGCTATTAATTATTGCCTCAATTTCAGAGCCTGTTATTGGTCTATTCAGAGATTCAACTTCTTCCTGGTTTAGTCTTGGGAGGGTGTATGTGTTGAGGAATTTATCCATTTCTTCTAGATTTTCTAGTTTATTTGCGTAGAGATGTTTACAGTATTCTCTGATGGTAGTTTGTATTTCTGTGGGATCGGTGGTGATATCCCCTTTATCATTTTTTATTGCGTCTATTTGATTCTTCTCTGTTTTCTTCTTTATTAGTCTTGCTAGCGGTCTATTAATTTTGTTGATCTTTTCAAAAAACCAGCTCCTGGATTCATTGATTTTTTGAACGGTTTTTTGTGTCTTTATTTCCTTTAATTCTGCTCTGATCTTAGTTATTTCTTGCCTTCTGCTAGCTTTTGAATGTGTTTGCTCTTGCTTTTCTAGTTCTTTTAATTGTGATGTTAGGGTGCCAATTTTAGATGTTTCCTGCTTTCTCTTTTGGTCATTTAGTGCTATAAATTTCCCTATACACACTGCTTTGAATATGTCCCAGAGATTCTGGTATTTGTGTCTTTGTTCTCGTTGGTTTCAAAGAACGTCTTTATTTCTGCCTTCATTTCGTTATGTACCCAGTAGTCATTCAGGAGCAGGTTGTTCAGTTTCCATGTAGTTGAGCGGTTTTGAGTGAATTTCTTAATCCTGAGTTCTAGTTTGATTGCACTGTAGTCTGAGAGACAGTTTGTTATAATTTCTGTTCTTTTGCATTTGCTGAGGAGTGCTTTACTTCCAACTATGTGGTCAGTTTTGGAACAGGTGTGGTGTGGTGCTGAGAAGAATGTATATTTTGTTGATTTGGGGTGGAGAGTTCTGTAGATGTCTATTAGGTCTGCTTGGTGCAGAGCTGAGTTCAATTCCTGGATATCCTTGTTAACTTTCTGTCTCGTTGATCTGTCTAATGTTGACAGTGGGGTGTTAAAGTCTCCCACTATTGTGTGGGAGTCTAAGTCTCTTTCTAGGTCTCTAAGGACTTGCTATTCAAAAACTTTCACATCACTATTTGATCTCTCTTCAAAAAATATGATTGAAAAGTACGTTCATAAGAAGGACACTTTCCTGAATGTTTTCCTAAGTAGATGGCACATATTAAACACTTGTTCTGAAAATAAAAATAGAATATATATTGCACCACGGTCAGCTGAAATTCCTGCTGGGTTTTAGAAACCTCTCAATGCAGAGATAGGCATTACAATGAATGTTTCTGCAAATGTGGCAAATGCCTCTGTAGGGGTTTGAATATAAAAATTATCTTTAATCTGCTGTGACCATAGAGCTGGCTAAAAAAAATCATTTCAAGAACATTGTGTTTTTACACTTCTCTGAAAAAATGTAGACCTTTCTAAAAATAATAAGGGACATATGCAAAGGCAGTATTTTTCCTTTCAAGTAGAAATTGAATTTTACTTAATAACTCTCTCTTATAAAATGTATTATCTTAGCTTTGGTTCCCCTAAAGCAAAGCTGGGAACAAAAATTGCTTGTAGGTAGTTTATTTCAAATTTATCCCCAGAGAGCAGGATTAAGAGATGTGATGGCATTGATAGGTGAAGCCAGAGGAGAGATGCATTACAGAGATGACCGCTTCTACAGGCATCTTGAGCTTGAGCCCACAGGACCAGAGCCTTACAAAATGCACTCAGAATGGTCACCTTGGAGGGTGTATTGATGGACTTTCATCTCCCATTCCCAGAGTGTAATTCTCTTAGCACTTAACTCTCTTGTTCTTTGAGGTTGCCCTCAAGTTGCAGCTTTGTGAAACTGGTTGCACCTACATGAACCTGGTTGCAGTAGCATTTGTAGGAGTAAAACATCTGGTCAAGATATGTTGAACTAGCACACAAGAAGTATCTGAAACATAGATGGTAGTGAGCGTAGATCATTTTCACAGCCCTAGCACACATTTCTTAGAGAAAGTGACTCCTTCTAATACTTACATAAATTCAAATATCCTAATGTTGAACAAAAAAAGTTGACTTTCTGTTATTTATTCAGTTTATATGTTGCTTCCATTTTGCATTTGGTGACATATATATGAATATGTATCTGTGGTAGGGAGGGGCTTTAGAGGGGCTTGTGGACTAGTGAGAAAGATTATTACTGTACAAAATGCTGTGATAGATTGATAGATATATGTTACTTTGGTAACCCCTAATAGAAACATCCAACCCAGATGATACATAAGAGAATGCTTCCTGGAAGAGGTGATATCTGAGTTTAGTTTTGAAGTAATTTGGTATTAGGTGACTAAATAAAGAGAGGATATTTGACTATCCATCAAGTACAAGTATAGAATACACAGACTATAATAAAATTGCACTTCAGTCCAGATTAACTAAAATGCAAGGCTATACGAAGGAACAGAATGTCATACCATGAAATGCTTTGTTGACCATATTACCAAAGCAGTGGTGAAGGTTTGGAAGATTTGAAGTGCGTAGAAACACAATCATTTTCCCTTACTGACATGGTGAAAAATTATTCTCATGCATTCACAAATGTGTATTGTCTGCCTATTATGTATCAGGTATTTTGTTAGGTACAGGGGATACAATGGAGGGTGAAGCAAACGTAACTATCCTTGTGTAGCTTCCAATCCAATATGAGGTAGGATATTCCCATAAAAACTGACACAGATTCTGTCTGTAACCGCGCACTCTGGGATTTGCCTGTCCTTGTTCAGCATCCTGATGAGGCCAAGCTCACTATTATTGCACTAAAAACAAGACCAACTCCAAAAGGATTTATGAGTAATACAGATGTTTATTAATGTCTTGGAGGGTAATGTATGAGGCGCTTGCGTTCCACAAAACAGCAGAATTTATTGAACACTCCCCATTAACCACATCTAATTTTTCCGAGCCGTAATTCCTCAACAGCTATAATTTCTTCCTCAAACACCTGTGCCTCTCCCTGTAACAGTGTTGCTTCCAGTCTCCCTTCAGGGTCTTACTACCTCTGTCTTACTTGGCAATTTTGTACCTTCATTTTTCCACTCATTTGAGTTCCCAGCACAGTTGTTAATTACTTTCTAAAAACTTATTTTTATTTAATCTACACTTATGTTTTCTGCATGGGAAGCACTGTTTTAAAAATGGTACAAGTATTAAAGTAAAAATGATGGAAAATAAATGCCAACAAATATTAACTAAAAAGAAGTTGAGGTTGCTATATTAATATCCTGTATTAAGCAAAGATATAGCAAAGCTGTACACATCTTCGCAAAATTCACCATGTACACAACCAGGCTTCTCACCTTTCTTTCAGTCCATGTGGGATCTTTCCCTACAAGATCTCACTACTTCCTAAGGCAACATTTTCCCATCCGTCTCTGGAGTTAGATAGTGTAGTAGAGAGATTTCAATTAGTAACTTAAGAAAGTGAGTGGAAATAGATTGAGAATGCGTGTTGAAAGATTACTGTTTATTAGGAAATTCATCAGTTGTCACAGTGGGGGAAAAATGTAGAAAGGCTACACATGTAGATAATCTACTATTTGGTGGTGGGGAGTCTATGATTTTCATTTTTAATTAATGAACTACAGGCAAACTAATCAGCTGAGAATGTATGTGTAGATAACATGTTTATTTTAAGGAAAGAATTGTGTCAACATGGAAATTCTGACCATGATTACCTAATTACATTAGGTAATTTGTCTGAGACAAAGCACAGAGAGAATGGATCTCATGTTGTCCTCTGTGATCCCTGAGATTTGGTTTGGTACTCAACAATGGAATGTAGCAAAGCCACTGTTATTTCCTGATTAGTCTGTTTATCATAAAGGAATATGGTAATTGGAATAGCTTTGGGTACTTTTTTTTTTTTTTTTTTTTTTTTTTTTTTGTATTTCCCTTCTAAGTGCTGCTCCTCGGGTACTGAATATTCTATCCTAAATCCAGGAGACTTTTTCTTTCTCTAATCTTGGTTCAGAATTTTCAATTATGGATAGTTCTAAGGGGACTGGGAAAGTTTTGACAGGAACACTCCTATTGGGATACATTTATCTCTGCTAAGGAAGCTGAATAATATAAAAAGTTTGTATCAAACTCTGCAGGAATATAGAAAATTTGGCTTTTGTTAATCTTTTATTTATTTTTCTATGTGTCTCTCTGGAAAGCTTATAATCTTGATATAAAAATTTAAATTAAAACATCAAAAAAATTTTGGACGATTTTTGAATAAGATGAATACTTCATTTGCTCACATGTCCTTGGCAATCAGTCATTCCATACAATCCAATTTCTTCCTAAGCATACTTAAAAAACAACTTGAATTTCTGTCTATAAAGAGAATTTTTTATCAGATAAAACAGTGTGCAGCATTTTATGAACTCTCTCAATTTGTCTTGAAACCTTGGGAGAATTACTTAATACGTGGTAACAAATAACAAGATGAATTTGCTAAATATATATCTAACTTAGTCTTTTTCTTGATTTCCTATATGATTGCCTGTCATTGTAATTCAGAAATAAATTTCTGAAAGACATAAACTTTTGATAACTGGCATTGTAACTATGAACACATCTTTCTTCATGAAAGAAAGGAATGTGAACTTTGAGTTGACTTTTGCAGTGGTGGCAAAGATATATTCACTTACGTTTATCTAACTTTTTTTAATATTCAGATTTCTTGAGAAACTACTTGACACTCAATTCTGCTGCTGCTATGCCTCTTCTTCCATTTAATAATCTCTAATTGGGCATGGGGCCTCACCATACAACTCACAGAATTTTCTCTAAACTAGTCAGGTTACTTTTAATCAAAGGTGTCAGCATTGTCTCAGCCTTCATTATTCTGACCGCTCTGTAGTCCATGTACAAAGCTGCAAATATTTTCTTTTCATCTTTCCTGGCAGTTTGTTCTCCCAAACTCTTTCATTTGTACCTTTCACTGTCTCTTCTCAATCTACCCCCAAATCAGTCATTCCATGTACTTATCCATTTATATGTCTGTCCACCCAGTGTGTCTTATTTGCACTTGGCCTTTGTTCCATGAAGAATTTAAGGAGGCTTATCTTCTTAAATGTAGGTGTTCTTTCAAAACTCCACTCCTCACCCCCATGATATTTTTAAATATTTTTTTCTTTAGTGAATACTTCTATCTCTGTTTTGAATTTAGAATATCCCACAAACTAACTTCTGCAGCTGACATTTGTGCTATTAATTACATTACCTTTCTCCTAGTCATCAAACATAAACATTTCTGGGTCAATTAGACTCCTAATCTCATGATCACTTATGCCATAGGTTCTGCAAGCACTGTGGATTCTACATCTGCAATGTCATTCTTAGCCATTCCTTTCTTCCCACTTCTAATTCCAACACTCCTTTACCTGACACCCATATCAGTGGCTTTGAACTCCTTCTTTCTGTAGCTCACTTAAGATGAATAGTATTCCTATCCAAAACACACTGTCAAAAACATTGCCATATTCTAGATTGTAGCAAAGAAGTGAGGCCATAAGTATAATATCATAAAACTAATTGTAACGCCACTTATTGAATGCAAATTCACAAGAGTGACATGATTACACAAATTTAAACTACAATCTATTTGCCTAATTTGGTTTAAAATACATTGGTCACAAACTTGAGTTTAATTTATTATCTACTTAATCTTAGACAACCGACTTTACCTGTTTATGTCTCAATAATGAACATGGGGATAATATTGGTACTTATCTGATAGGGTTCCTGTGAGGATGAAATACATGAATACATCCAAAGCACTTAGAAAAGTGCCTGTTATTTAACAAACTTTAGTAAAGGTTAGCTATTAACACAGTACTTATCCTATAATTCCCACAGCATTTTACTTGTGCATGTGTTGCGGGGGAGGTGCGGGGGTATTGCAGTCAGAAACTACTTTTCTAGATGATTGGTAATATTGTAGTTTTTGTCATTGCTGTTGTTGTTTATTGTAAAAACGTAAACTCCCCTGTCAAGAATTGAGATTTTAATAGAGATAAAGGGGATGGATGGGCGGTAACATTGGGAGGAGCTTTATAGTCCATTACTTGCCTTCAATAGTTTTTCACTCCAAGCCTTCCTCACAGTTTTCTGACTCCATAATTTTTCTTTCTGTTCTGTCTTCATGAAGTACCCTCTTAACTCCTAGCTCTGTCTCCAAGAATGCAAATGATTTGCCAAAGATCATGAAATTAGTTACTTACAATAAACTGGAATAAAGCCTACCATATAATAAGCATAGTTTAGATTTTATTCTAAAAGCTTTTCCTTATGCTTGTCCATATTGAAATTCATCTGCCACTTTCATAATACCACCCACACAGCCTTATGATATCTCCATGCAAATCGTATTTACCAGCTTGACATTTCACTCACTACCCAGTAGAGCTCAGTATTACCTGAGATGTTGAGAATTTTATTCACCCTTTCTCATGTTAAGATACTTTACAAGACCGGGCATGGTGGTTCACGCCTGTAATCCCAGCACTTTGGGAGGCCAGGGCAGGTGGATCATGAGGTCAGGAGATCGTGACCATCCTGGCCAACACGGTGAAACCCCATCTCTACTAAAAATACAAAAATTAGCTGGGCGTGGTGGTGCGCGCCTGTAGTCACAACTACTGGGGAGGCTGAGGCAGGAAAATCGCTTGAACCCGAGAGGCGGAGGTTGCAGTGAGCTGAGATCGTGCCACTGCACTCCAGCCTGGTGACAGAGTGACACTCCGTCACACACATTAAAAACAAAAAACAAACAAACAAAAAACTCTACAAAATAATCAACAAATGCCAGCCCTAACTCGATCTCTAAAGACTATGTCATTTTGCCAACACATAGCTTCCCGTATCTAAGGTATTTCGCTACCCATGAGAAAACATTATTCTCCCACAGATTGAAATTATATAAATCGAAATTATGGTCAAAGAATAATGTTTTGTTATGGCTAAAGTTTATAACTCACTAAAGACTAAGATAATCATTAGCATTATTTAGCAATAAACATTTTTAAATTATAATATTTAATTTTAAAAAAATTTATCAAAAGATTTTAAAAGTCTGCATAAATTATATCTAGCAGGCCAGCACTCAATAATGTGATCCCCAAACATTTGTATCAGGATAATTGACAATGCTTAAGAAAAAAAAACAAAAAAAACGGGTGGGAGCGGTGGCTCACGCCTGTAATCCCAGCACTTTGGGAGGCTGAGGCAGGTGGATCATGAGGTCAGGAGATTGAGACCATCCTGGCTAACACGGTGAAAACTTATCTCTATTAAAAAAAAAAAAAAAAAAAAAAAAAATTAGCCGGGCGTGGTGGCGGGTGCCTGTAGTCCCAGCTACTCAGGAGGCTGAGGCAGGAGAATGGCGTGAACCCGGGAGGCGGAGCTTGCCGTGAGCCGAGATTGCGCCACTGCACTCCAGCCTGGGCGACAGGGCGAGACTCTGTTTCAAAAAATAAGTAAATAAATAAATAAAAATAAAAAAATGTAAAAATATTGGGTCATACTTCAGATCTGCCCAGAGTTTCTGGGGCAGTCCTAGAAAGCAGCCTTTTTTCACTCCAGAATTGTGTAAGGTGAATAAATCAGCAAGAAGCACTTTGTTTGGAAATACAAGGCGTGTCCCTGCGCCTCAACCTTACCAGGATACAAGAGCAGCCCTCTCCCAGCTGAAAGTACTAGGAATAGTTAAATCCACATGCTCTCTCTTTCTAAAGTTGAGAAGCACTTCCATTTCCACTGAGTTGTCAGGTCTTCCCAGAACCACACCCAGCTAGCAGACTATGCAATGTCTCTTAGAGTGTTCAGTGACCTTGAAAAGCAGAGTCCTTCAGAAAATTTCCGAAGAGAATGAAATCTTGAACCTACTCTTTCCCTGGGAGGCCTGAGGAGAACCAGGGTTTTCAAATGCACCATCTGGACATACCTAGAGAGGGCCATCTTGTTTGTGGTATTTCCTCAGAGAGAGGATTGGAAGAGGATTGGAAGAACGAGACCAGTTATGATCTGTATACAAATTATCCTCACCCCATATATCTTAGGAATCTGCATTTTCCACAGTACTCCCAGATATTTCACATATATTCAGTATATTTTAATTGTGTGTACAGTAAAATGTACTGAGTGTTTCCGTACATTTCCATGGTGAGAACTAATCATTACTTGCGACATGTTTTTTTAAAAAGATACATATTTCTTTATATTTTGAAATCTCACTTTTATACTAGATAGGGTTGCCTAAAAAAAGGTGAATGAAAGGCGATAACAAAATCGTGTTGGAGGGAATCTCACTAAAAATACAGATTCCTGGTTCTCCCTTAGATATTCTGATGCAGTCAGTCTGAAGTGGAGAATGCAGGTAATTCTGACAAGCATCACTAGGAATTTTTATATTCAGTCAGATTATGAAACGTCTGACATTTTATCTCAATTAGTAACTGTGGCTCTCTGGGGATTTTCAGGTGGTCGCAGTATTTCTGCAGTTGGTCACTTGTCATGTATTTAATTCCTAGTTTTTGTGGGCCTTTAAGGTAATTATAGAAATTTAGATTAAAATGTTTATTTGGGAGGGGTATTCTCATAATTGAGCTGCCATAGGTGATAGTTGTTCTTTCCACTTTGCTTCGACAGTCTTTCTTTTGTTAATAAGAGAGCCTATTTTCCTATGGTTTTCAGTTTTCCTTATCATGCCTTGCATTGCCATTCTTAATATGCTCTACCTGATTTTTCTCTGAATATCCAGTAAGGTATTTAAAAATAACCTTAAGGCTTCCTGTGAATCATTTTAAATGATTTCCTTCCATTTTTTTCTCTCTGCACTAATTCTCACGTTTTGTCTCAGTTAATTTGTCTAAAATTGAGTAATGTATGGTGGATATTTTATTTCCATTATCCTGCAAGGATTCTGGATTTATTATTTTGTGATCATTTTTATTATCCAGTATTAAAAATCACGTACAGGATATTGAGGATTCTAAAACTACTTCTGGAAAGTAATTTGTAATATTTAGAAGTGTTTCTTCCAGAGTTCACTCCAATGAGATATTTTGCACATTTACCATAAAATAACAAGACATTTATTTCTTAACAAATGTACTGAGCCTCATATATTCAAATGAGTGTTGTGTCTTCAAAGTAGACATACTGAGAGGTAATTCAGTTATACCAATATAATCCTGCCATTATTCAAAATATTTTAAAACTCAGTGATTCATCTTGCTATTTTATAACGCTCATCTTTGGAGCTGTAGAGGAGAGATAGCAAGCTGCCTAAGTGGAAGGCTTGATAATGATTAACATTCTTCCTTTGCACCAGCCACTATGCTAAAAGCATTTCATACATTCTTTCATTTAGTCATCACAGCAAAACAGCATTTTGAGCTTATCTTTTTTTTCTAGGTAAAGAACCTGTGATTTAGACAGGCAGCAAGTCCTATTGCTCATGCTTGTCTGACTGCAAAGAGTACACGCCTAATCTTTATACTTTATTGCTCAGTTAACATCAGTTAAGGGACAGGCACAAGGTCATAGTTGGTGAGAGGTCTCGAGCTACAGATCTAACTCACGGTGATTGTTTTATCTACTGTATCATCCTGCCTCCCTTAGGATATCAGTGCTACATTGGGATATTGGATTAATTTCATCAATATTACCAGAAATCAAATTTAAAGGGTGTGGTTAGAGATGATCCTTACAGAAGTAATCAGTATTAGTTCCTGCCCAGTTTCATTGGAATAAATGTCATGAAGGATATTCTTCTCACTTCTGCAAGAAGGAAAGAATCCATCAAATTTATGAAACTAGGAAGACTATATGGAGCAACCCACATAAGTAAAATTGGGGTTATGGTGATCTGTCGGAATGACAGAATTCATCTATAGGGAATGTAAGGTTGCCTGCTACATAGTGTGTTAATTATCTGTCAAATTATCTATCAAGAGAATGCAGAGACTAATTTTCTTAATAATTAGTAGAGTCTACTTAATATTATAGCATGCTTTTTTCTTTAAATGTAGGTTTTCCTTCACAGTGTCAGAGTGTTAAAAATATTGGTTATAAAGGAAAAAAAATATGCTGAATCCAGAATTTTAAAGAATATTTACATCATCCACTTGTTTAATAAATAAATGAAAGCCAACATAAATATTTTACTGTCATCCTAACATCATGGTGATCAAATAACTTGTAGTACAAATTTTACAGATGGGCAACTTGCAAATGATTCATATGTATAAATAGCTGCCCTTCCACAAGTCGGCCATTGCCGCAGGCCCTTCTGATTTTGCCTTTGTTTAAATAAAAGACATAGCCTCAAGAAGCTTTTAGAGAATTGGAAATTTAGAGGCAAAGGAGGAAAAGTTTTTTTTTTACAAAAAACATAAGAACAGTTTTGGCGCTTTAAGGTTTAATGGGAGTCCACCCCTTGCAGCAGCATGCTCTGGATGTGAGACATGGAGTCATTGGAGATTATTTTGGAGCTTACGTTTTAATGACTGCCTGGCTCGTTTTCGGACTTGCATGAGGCCTGTAGCCCCTTGGTTTTGACCAATTTCTCCCTTTTGGAAAGGGAGCATTTACCCAGTGCCTGTACCCATATTGTGAGCTCTAAGCTTAGAAATGGATTTTAAGGTAGTTTTGGCAAAATGCGGCAGACCCATTGTATTAGCCCATTCTCACACTGCTATAAAGAAGTACCTGAGACAGGGTAATTTATAAAGAAAAGAGGTTTAATTGACTCACAGATCCACGTGGCTGGGGATGCCTCAAAAAACTTACAGTTATGGCAGAAGGTGAAGGAAAAGTAAGGCATATCTTACGTGGCAGCAGGAGAGAGAGATCGCGAGTTGGGAAAAGCCACACCTTTGAAATATCAGATCTCATGAGAACTCTACCACCCCCCTGATCCAATCACCTCCCACTAGGCCCTACCTTCAACATATGGGGATTACAATTTGAGATGAGATTTGGATGGGGACACAGAGCCAAACCATATCATTCTACCGCGGCCCCTCCCAAATCTCATGTCCTTCCACATTTCAAAACCAATCTTGCTTTCTTAACCCATCATGCTTTTCCCAAAGTCTTAACTTATTCCAGCATTACTCAAAAGTCCAATCCAAAGTCTCATCTGAGACAAGGCACGTCCTTTCCACCTAGGAGCCCGTGAAATAAAAAAACAAGTTAGTTACTTACAAGTTACAATGTGGGTATAGGCACTGGGTAAATGCTCCCATACCAAAAGGGAGAAACTGGTCATAACCAAGGGGCTACAGGCCCCATACAAGTCCATAAACCATCCAGAGAGTCATTAAATCTTAAAGCTCCAAAATAATCTCCATTGACTCCACGTCTCACATCCAGGGAGTGCTGATGCAAGGGGTGGAGGCCCAAGGCCTTTGGCAACTCTGTCCCTTTGTCTCTGCAGGATACAGCCCTCTTGGCTGCTTTCACAGGCTGGCATTAAGTACTTGCAGCTTTTCTAAGCACATGGTGCAAACTGTTGGTGGATCTAGCATTCTGGGGTCTGGAGGATGATGGGCCTCATCTCAAAGCTCCACTGGGCAGCATCCCAGTGGGGACTCTTGAGTGGGGCCTCCAACCCTACATTTCCCCTTTGCATTGCCCAGTAGAGATGTTCTATGAGGTCTCCACCCCTGCGTCAGACATCTGCTTGGACTTCCAGGCATTTCTAAGCCTCCTCTGAAATCTAGGCAGAGGTTCACAAACCTCAGCTGTTGTATTCTGCAGACCTACAGGCTCAATGCCACGTGGAAACCACCAAGGCTTGGGGCTTTCACTCTCTGAAGCAATGGCTTGAGCTGTATCTTAGCCCGTTTTAGCCATGGCTGGAGCTGGAACAGCTGGGATGCAGAGTGCCATGTCCCGAGGCTGCACAGTGCAACTGGCCACCAGGCATGGCCTGTGAAACTATTTTTCCTTCTTAGCCCTGTTATGGGACAGGCTGCTGCAAAGACCTCTAACATGCCCTGGAAACACTTTCCACATTGTCTTGGCTATTAACATATAGCTCCTACTTAAGCAAATTTCTGCAGCTGGCTTGAAGTTCTTCCCAGAAAATGGGTTTTTCTTTTTTATCTCATGGTCAGGCTACAAATTTTCCAAGCGTTTATTTTCTGCTTTCCTTTTAAACATAAGCTTGAATTTCAGACCATTTCTTTGTAAACTCATATGACTGGCCACTTTTAAAAACAGCCAGGTCACATCTTGAAAGCTTTGCTGCATAGAAATTTCTTCCACCAGGTATTCTAAATAATTGCTCTCAAGTTCATAGTTCCACAGATATCTAGGTCAGAGGCAAAATACCACCAGTCTCCTTGCTAAAATATAGCATGAGTTACCTTTGCACCAGTTCTCAATAAGTTCCTCAACTCTATCTGAGAAACCTCAGCTTTGACTTTATTGTCCATATCACTATCAGCATTTTGGCCAAAACCATTCATCAAGTCTCCAGGAAGTTTTAAACTTTCTCACATCTTCCTGTCTTCTTTTGAGCCCTCCAAACTGTTCCAACATCTGCCCATTACTCAGTTCCAAAGTCACTTCCACGTTTTCAGGTGTCTTTACAGCAATATCTTACTCCTGGTAGCAATTTTTATATTAGTTCATTTTCACACCGCTATGAAGAGCTACCTGAGACTTGGTAATTTATAAATAAAAGAGGTTTAATTGACTGATGGTTCTGCATGGCTGAGAAGGCCTCAGGAAACTTACAATCATGGCAGAATGCAGACAGACAAGAAGCAAGGCATGTCTTACATGGTGGCAGGGGAGAGAGAGAGTGAAGGTGGAAATGCCACACCTTTAAACCATCAAATCTTGTTAGAACTCTCATGAGACAGCACTAGGGGGATGGTGCTAAACCATGAGAAACCACCACCATGATCTAGTTACCTCTCATGAGGCCCCGCCTTCAACATATGGGGATTATAATTCAACATAAGATTTAGGTGGGGGCACAGAGCAAAACCTTATCACACATTGTCAAAGATCTCTTGCTCCCCATGACATAACAAATACACTAGTCAGGCTAAAATTCCACTAAATTGTTGTTTAGGTGAATAAGAATTATGTTATTAAAAATAAGGTTCAACAATGAGAATTTCAGTGCAGTAATTTCACTTTACTGTATTTTGGTTGAATTACAGTCATGTGCTGCATAGCAATGTTTCAGTCAGTGATGGACCACATATATGACAGTGGTCTCATGACATTATAATGGAACTGAGAATTCCAGTCGCCTAGTGACTTTCAGTGTAACCTGTGTAGGCTAGGCTAATTTGTGTGTTGTGTCTTTATTTTTAACAAAAGAATTGCAAAAGATAATAAAAATTTTAAAGATAGAAAAAAGCTTATAGAATAAAGATCTAAAGAAAGAAAACATTTTTACAGCTGTACAATATGTTTGTCTTTTAAGCTGTGTCATAATGAAAGAGTCAAAAAGTTAAAAATAAGTTTATAAAGTAAAAATGTTACAGTAAACTAAGGTTCATTTATTATTAAAGAACAAAATATATTTGTGATTAACTTAATATATCTTAAGTGTGCCGTGTTTATAAAGTCAACAGTAATGTACAGTAGTGTCCTAGGCTTCACATCCGCTCACCACTCACTCACTGGCTCACCCAGAGCAACGTCTGGTCCTGCAAGTGCTATTTGTAGTAAATGCCCTGTACAGGTGTACCATTGTTATTTATATCATATTTTATCATACCTTTTTTATGTTTAGGCACAAAAATACTTACCATTGTATTACAATTGTCTACAGTATTCAGTAGAGTAACATGCTGTGCAGGTTTGCAGCCTAGGAACAATAGGGTATACCATATAGCCGAGGTATGAAGCAAGCTATATCATCTAGGTTTTTGTAAGTGCCCTCTGATGTTTTAACAGCAACGAAATTGCCTAATGTCGCATTAATCCTCATCACTAAGTGACGCATGACTGCTTATTTTATGACATTTAACATTGTACTGAGACAGCTTCCCAAAGAGGAAAGGAAGTTGGTTTATATGGGAAGAGAGGTAGGATAGAATTGTGATGATCATCATCAGAGGGCTTTGGCATCATTTAAAGAAATCTATTTGTGTTTTTCTATAAGGTCAGGCAGAGAGCTTTTGAGGTAGGCTTAATTAGGTTGCTATCCCAGTTCTGCCCCGCTTTAACTATGTGACCCACTCTCTCTAAACTTTAGATTCTTGATTCACGTAACACTGTTTCTCTCTCCTTTTGAAATTGATGTAAAGATTAGAATAATTATAAGTGTAAAGAATCTGGCATGCACAGATTTTTGTTTCATTTCGTTTTCTTTTTTCTTTTGGTGCTGGGGATTCAAGAATGGCATGCCCTTTGACTCTCGAAGAACTCATGATCTAGTAGAGGAGATAGACAAGTTAATGATCCTGTCAAAAGAAGTCATGCCACAATGTGTGAAGAGTAAAGAGGTATCATATTTCAGAGGTACAAATAGGACAGGAACTGAACTCCACAGGGCCCTTAGAAGCATTTGCACAGAGGAGTTGACATTTGAGTACAGTGCTGATGAAAGAAAAAGAGTTTGTGAATTGCCCCAATTCTGGGCTGGCATTGCAGACAGAGGGAAAAACATACAAAGGCACTGGGGAAGAAAAGTAAATGAAGAAGAAGTAGAACATCCCCAAACCAAAAAACAAACCCACCTTCATCTTTTATGTTTTTGTGTGAGGCAGGCTTCTATGAAGGATACATGTATATGGAGGGGAGGTAGTTTACTTTTTCTTCTCTTCTTTACCATAAGATCCTTGCTCCTATGTCCTAGTACCCAAAATAACTATGTTAGTGGTATGAACTGAGTTCTTCATAGTACAAGCTCATAGTTCATAACTTAGTTGTTATGAACTAAGTTGTATTTTGTGTGTTAAATAGCAACCCAACCACTATTTACAATATTCTGTAGAAAAATGTCTTTGGATCCAAAGCACTGATATACTGCAGAATACATGGAATACAATTCATTCATTATTCATCATTGTGGAGAAGAGCATGGACTCTGAAGCCGGACTTCCTGAATTCAAGTCCTGGCTCTGGCATTTAAGAGCCATGTGACTTTAGGTAACTTTTCAACTTCCATGAGTCAAACCAATTCAAAGGGTTATGAGGAGTAGAGTTGTTATAGCTAAAGGAGTTACAAGGGTACCTAACACATAGTAAACCCCATATAAGTATTGGGTATTATTCATCATTAGTCTTGTAACAATGATTAGTGCATAACCTGAAAGGTAATGCTAGACCTCTAGCTGTCATTTTAGGTATTAATTTCTCTCTGGAACTTAAGAAAGTTTTTGAAAAGATGACTTTAATGTAAGGGAGAAGTGGATTCCAGCCAACAAAAATCAAATTACCAGCTATTTAAAAATCCAATTACCAGCTATATTTTAAAAATCATAATACAACTAGAAGCAACAAGACTTCATAGATTATATGTGAATGTATAATGAAATTGCTTGCTTCCTCAAACCTTGATGTTACTAAACTTATTTAAGCCTGTGAAACCAGCAAATTTGTTGAGCTGAGATAGGACAATTTGTACCTCAAGCAAATAGATTTCCAAAGACTTTTCAGGGTTAGATTCAATATTTGTGTAACCGGTGTATTAGCAATGAATACTTACTGTGGGTACAGCCCTGCTTCTGAGATGCTTCTGAAAGCATTTGATCGCGCACAAACAGAACTAGGACGATTTGCAAAGGAGGGTCCCTTCCACTATAAATATTCTGATTACTTCTTTTTTGAAGAAGAAAAAGTACGTATTTTGCAGTCCATTAAATAGCAGTTCCCAGTTGCTGCTGCCTTTTAATATGAATATAGTCAATAATTTATTTGATGGTAAGATTCTTTTTGTTTTTTATTTCAGCTTAATACCTGATAATATGTTCAGCCTAAAAGGATAATAAGGAAACTGATTAATTTAGTCCTCTTATTATATATTGCCAAGACAAAATTGATTCTTTTATGAAAGTGAAAACAAGTACTTTGTGATTTCTTCATCCTCATTAACAGGCTTAAGATAGAATTTCATTTTATCAATGTCAAAGAGCTAAAATACCTTTAATGATTGAAGTATAAACAGAAAAGCAATATATTAAAGGGTTAATCTATTTTAAAAGTAACTTTTTTTCATATACACATGAATACAACCATATATAATCAAAAATTGATAATTCAATCTACCTGTATTAGTTAGGGTTTTATAGAGAGAAAGAGCCAATAGGATATATATATATATATATATATATATACACACACACACACATATATGAAAGAGAATTGATTAGGGAAATTGATTCATGTGATGATGGAAGCTGAGAAGTCCCATGGCAAACCATCTGCAAGCTAAAGACCCTGGAATGCTCATAGTGTGGCTCGATCCAAGTCCAAAGGCCTCAGAACCCAGGAAGCTGATGGTGTAACTCCTGGTCTGAGACCACAGGCCTGATAACCCAGGGGGACCACTGGTGTAAGCCATGGAGTCCGAAGGCCAGGAGGCCTGGAGCTCTGGTGTCCAAAGGCAGTAGAGGAGAAGTGTATCTCATTTCCAGGAAATAGACACATGCCTTTCCTCTGTTATTGTTCTGTCTGAGTCCCAAGCCAATTGAATGGTGCCTGCCTACACTGAGGGTGGATCTTTCCCACCTAGTCCACTCAGATTCACATGCTAGTTTCATCTGGAAACACCCTCACAAACACACCCCAAAATAATGCTTTACCACGTTTCTTGGTATTGCTTAACGTATCCAGTCAAGTTGACACAATTAAAATTAACCATCACACTCTCCAAATGATACTGAAATCTGAAAGTTCTTATGAGGAATTGGTGAAAATCCTAGAAGTTTTGTGATGTCTTCCTGGTCCTGAGTAATTATAAATTCTTTAATGTATTTGAGGATTGGTCATCATTCTATGCCATAAGTATAATCAATGTTTAAAACTAGCTCTTATCACTATGCTTGTAGCAGAGTAGAATTATCTATATGCAAATAACTTACCATAATCAGAGCCCATATCAGCCAAAACTAAGTGTGAGATGAGGCTCTAGTTAACAATAAATTATCTCATTAGAGAAACAAAATTGCAGTCATACAACTTTACTAAGTAGATAGGAAAAGTGTAAATAGTAAATGCCTAGGAGTTTGTAGGATGGATCCATCGATGTAATTATATACAGCTAAACATAATTACTGTGGTTATAGAAAATATTCTTGAGGAAAAGGAATGTTATCTAGCCTTGTTAATGGAGAATACTTGAGTGCATATATAAGCTGATAACTTCAGTGAATGACTAATGAACTTCAAACGAATGACTAAAGCTATTTAGAAGATAGTCTGAACAGAGCCGGGGCTATGGTAGTCAAGTGGAAACTAAGGTTGAAGAATTAGCATTGGGGCAGGTTTTCAAAGATTTGCATACAAAAATAAAGAGCTTGAATTTCATCATAAGGCAACAGGGAACCACTGATGTTACAAGAAAGAAAAATAAATGATAAAAATGCTATTTTAGAAAGATAAATATGAAGTCAAAGTATAGAATGGATTGGGGTAAAAAGACAGCTGGCAGGAGGCTGAATACACCATGATAAAGGCAAAGGTAGTGAAGGTTTTAATTAGAATTATGTCTGTGGAAAGAAAAAAGAAGCAACACAGAGAAGAAATACTGAAAAGAATACAGGTATTATGAAATCACAGTTTGCTCTTGAAACAGACTCAAACTTAAAACTAAGGAAAATCTGTTCTGATCAGAAAAGATCCAAGACAGGTCAAATTTATTTATTTTTTATGTATTTGTGTATTTTTTTGAGATGGAGTCTGGCTCTGTCACCCAGGCTGGAGTGCAGTGGGGCGATCTTGGCTCACTGCAAGTTCATCCTCCCGGGTTCACGCCATTCTCCTGCCTCTGCCTCCCGAGTAGGTGGGACTATAGGTGCCTGCCACCACGCCCAGTTAATTTTTTTGTATTTTTAGTAGATACGGGGTTTCACCGTATTAGCCAGGATGGTCTCGATCTCCTGACCTCATGATCCGCCCACCTCGGCCTCCCAAAGTGCTGGGATTGCAGGCATGAAAATTTTAATAGAGAAATGAAGTCACATAGTCAATGAGAGAAACCTGTGGACCATGGAGGGCCCAAAGAGTAACAGGTAGCCAGATAGAAGTTAATAAATCCATGATCAGTCACATCAGGTGCAAAGAATAAACTTCATTTCTTCACTGCTGGAAACTACAGTGCAGTGAAAGAGATAGACAAGTAAACAACATTAAAATGCAATGAGACATGTACTAAGATAATGATTTGAACTTTGTACTGTGAAAACAAAGAATAGAGTGAATATAATTATTCTAAAGATGGAGAGATGAATTTGAGTATGGTTTTAAAAGCTGAATTATAGTTTATTAAACAGAGATAAGGTTTAAAAATTACAGGGAAAGGCAAAAATATGTGGCTGTAAAGTGTCATGGTTAGTTTATGGAGTGGAGAAAAGTGTTGTGTAGCTAAGGTGTGAGATTTGTGAGGAGAGGTATCAGTAAGTATAGGACTGACAAGAGAAGTAAAATCCAAATTTGGATGGGCTCGAATGCAATACTAGGGGATTCAAATTTTGCCTTAAAACATTATTGAGTAGACAGAGTCCTTTAATTAGTATTGAAAAGGTTTGTTATTTTTGTTGTTTGCTGTCCCTTTTTGCTTGCTTACTTGCTTTCAGCACAAAAACTCTAGTAGTAGTAGGAGGAGAACAGATGAACAGATTAAAGGGTTGATCTAGAGCCCTGAAAGGACTTTTGGAGAAAGACATTGATTGACAATATGCTACCATTTCATTCTGTTGAGTAATGAAAGCCAAATAGATATGATTTTGGAAAAGCAGTTTTATTATGATGAGTGGGTAGGGTTAAGAAGAATACAGTTGTACAATAAGATGTGTTTGCATATATTGGCCTGGGGGTTCAAAGGATAAATTAGGAAGGCATCAGAAACAAAGAAAAACTAAAGGGAAATTTGCAGTAGAGTGGGTTAGATAGGAGCATTCAGATTTGATGATGATGGTTTTGACCAGTAAGATAATTTAAATAACTGTATCATAAGGCAGAACATGATTGGTATCATAAGAAATAAACAATTATGGGCAGCTGGGCATAGTGGCGACACCTGTTACCCCAGCACTTTGGGAGGCTGAGGCAGGCAGATCACTTGAGGTCAGGAGTTTGAGACCAGCCCGGCCAACATGATGAAACCCCATTTCTACTAAAAATACACACAAAAAATTTTTTAGCTGGGCATGGTGGTACATGCCTGTAGTCCCAGCTACTTGGAAGTCTGAGTCGAGAGAATCGCTTGAACCAAGGAGGTGGAGGCTGCAGTGAGCCAAGATTGTGCCACAGCACTCCCACCTGGGTGTCAGCTAGACTCCATCACAAAAAAAGAGAGAAAGAAAAGAATGGGAAAGAGAGAAAGGGAAGGGAGAAGAGGAAGGGAGAAAAGAAAATGAGAAAAGGAAAAGGAAAGGAAAGGAAGAAAAGAAAGAAAAGAAAAAAGAAAAGAAAGAGAAACCACGATGGGGAATCTGCAGTAAGGCACAAGATTTCTTGCGGGAGGAATTAGAGAAGGTTGTTTTCTGTTGTGGTGATGGTGATGATTTTTTTGTTTTTGTTTTTGTTTTCATTTTGGTGGGGTTTTGAGGGGTGGGGGTTGGCTTCTGGTTTTTAATGAAGGCCCTATTTTTGTGTTCCTTTTAAATGTTTTTATAAGATACAATTTGAAGTGAAACATAAACTGAATTTTAGTATGCATATGATCTTATTGAGATATTTTTAGACAAGGACCAATAGCATGTATACAGGCTCATAATACATTTAGAATACAGCATATTTGGAAAATAGCAAGCACTCCTATTACATGGAATGTTGCATGCATAAATGGGAAGAATTTGAGGCAAAATATGGAAAGATAACTTAGGACTAGAACATTGGAGCTGATGCAGAATATTTCATGACCGCTTTGTCAGACTTGCAACAGGGGCGCCCCGTTTACTCGGCCCACTGTGCTCAACCCCTTACAGAAGGGAGCATGTGAGTAAGTGAGTGTGGAATCCTTCCAGCCACTGCTCCAGGTGCTGGCAGGAGCGAGCTCCATTTACTATCCTGCGGCAGTGCCCAGGTGAGGGTGCCTGCAACGGTGAAGCTCAAGAAGGGGTGTTACAATGACTTCTTCGCTCCACTACCCATAGAGTGCAGTGTATTATCAGCTTACTTAGCCCCTTGCCTCATCACATGGGATGGCTTCCCTCTGCTGGCAAGGGCAAAGGGTCAGTGTGATGGCCATTTTTGGGTCCCTGTACTCGGTGGTTCCTGAGCTCTTGTCCAGCATCCAAGAAGAATAAGGTCACACAGACACTTGAAGGATGGCAAAAGTGGATAATTTTATTTAGCAATGGAAATGGTTCTCAGCAGACAGGGGAGCAGGAGAGGGGACAGGACAGGCAGGCAGTCTCCCCACAAAGTCCAGCTGGATCTTCCCTGAAGTCAAGTTGTCTCTGCTCTGAAGTCCAGCTGTCTCTCTGAAGTCAAGTCACCTCTCTATCCTCTACTGACTGTGTCTGGGGTCTTTATAGGCACAGGATGATGGGTAGGGTGGGCTATAGGTAGTTTTGGAAAAGGCAACATTCAGTTGGTAAGAAGGCGTTTTTCAGAAAGAACCAATTGGGAAAGAGAGGGCAGACAGGAATAGAAGTTTTCACTTTGGGCCATGGGTTTCAGGCTTTTCAGCTTGAAGGTGGAGTTTCACCAGGGACCTATCCCTGTCTGCCTCCTGCCTCTATCAAAGCCTTCAAGTGGAAGACTAAAACATTTAGACATTAGTGAGTAAAGCATTCATGACATCCTTTTTTAGCCATTGTAATCATCCGTCTTTTAATAACCCCTCATCTTCCTGGCACGGTCTTCCTCATTTATTTTATTCAGTCAATGTCTTGGTGATAACCATATATACATCAATGATCCATCCAATATTATGACTTCTCAGTTTCTTTACCTCCAAGCTTCCCATGAACTTGTACTCCATCCCATCTTAGCCACCCTTTCCTGTGGTAATAGCCTGAATCTTGTGATTATCAATTATTCTACCTTCATCACAATCTCAATTTCAAGTAAGCCATTTTCTGCTGAAAGCCTCTTTTCCATTCAAATAATTATGTTTACTACTTCCACTTAAACAATCATTTGGCCCCTTCAGACCTCTCATTCCTTTTATCAGTTCACCACTTCACTGTCCATCATACCCTCACATCCTCAAGTGCCTTCCCTTTCTAGGTGAGATTACATAGTCACTTATTGTAAACTTTCTCCTCTGTCAGCTCTCAACTCTCTATCCCATCAATCTCTTGATCATGTAATACTCACTTGGCAAACCTCTTACCTCAACCTCAGCCTATGCCCCATTCATTTCATGATTATATCCATATAGCTGAGTATAGATAGAAAAAAATACATAATTTTGAACACCGATTTTGCCTTAACTTTATATTCTTATTTACCTTTCAGTGACAAATATAAGGTCTTCCCTATGTCTTTATCTGTATGACTGCTACACCACTAATTACAAATAATAAACTGTTCTTGACAGTTTTGTGCCCTAGACTCCATCTCTTCTTACCTACATCAAGAAGTTGTCATCTGCAATTATTTACCCTCTCTTGCAAACATCACATTTCCCTCCATCCTGAATCATTCTCATCAGTAAACATGCTAGAATATTTATTATACTGAAATTAACCATTTTATGATTTCATAGCTCCCTCCAACTTCCATCCTTTTTTTCTCTGCTCTCCTTGATAGCAAGACTTCGTCCAAGAGTTGTTTAAACCCATCTCAAATTTCTATTTTATGTTTTCTTATACCTAATCCTATGAAGCTTTAATAACCACCATTATTGCAAATGTCACCAAGGATCTTCACATTGCCAAAGCTAATGGGATAGATGAAAGGGAATCCAAAATAAAGTAATGGCAATTAGAATAAAAATAAGGGAATGAAAAAGAGAGATGTAATAGGAATCAAATTGACAGAACTTGATAATTGACTGATTGCGGAGAAATGGAGAGAACATCAGCTTATTCATTCACAAAATGTGTTTTATTTTTTAAAATATCCCAATAATTTAAAACAAAATATAGATTTTTTCATAATTCCAGATTAGAAAATTATTTTAAGTATCCCACAAAACAAAAAAGAACACAAACATTGAAATACAAAAAATGAAATATTCCCTAGCTCCTATGCCACCTGTCACCCACATATATAGTTGATAACAAGTAGATTCACTAATTGTCATCAAATATTCTTGACCATTAACTTTGTACCAGGGACTGTGTGAGGATCCAAAGGGAACAAAATGATGTGGTTCCTGTCCTGGTTTAGTTTACAGCTAAAAGTGAAAACAGATATGGAACAAATGGGTAGAAATGCCATTAGATTGAATAATTGATTGAGTCTGATTGGTTTTACCAAAAAAAGAAAAGAAAAATAATGAACAATGCTATTTCTCTTTATATATATACACACACAGTATTCATATATACATAATATATGCACATATATATTTTATATATATTTCTTTCTCCATATGTGTATATATTTACATTATATATACTTGCATTATGTATTTATGAATATATATATATATATATACACATACACACACACACATACATATATGCACAGAGAGAGAGGAAAGAGATTAACTTGGTGAGAGAAGTGGGGTGGTAGAGAGGAAAGACTTTACTGAAAAAGTAATATTTAAAGTAGAACTTAATTGACTACAAAATTGGGAATGGGTAAATAAATTCTTCCTTGCAAACAATATGAATGTTTCCTGGGGAGCAGAATAAAATATTGAGGAAAAGTGGCTTCAGACTTAATAAAGTCCTAGCATTTGAACTCCTTGCCTTTTATTTAATAGCTCACTGATTTGGAGGGGGTTACATAATTTTTAAAATAGTTTTCTATTATTTAAAATAGGGACTATCGTATCTACCTTACTGTGTTTTGTAAGTTTTAAATGACAGTTTACTTATATACATTTCACAAAGCACCAGGCTTGTAGCAGATGTTCAGTTAATGTTTATTCCCATCCACTTTACATCTAGAGTCTTTAATGCACAAAAATCCCTGTGATGAAGCTATGATAATCAGCATTCCCCCTCTGAAAACATTTCTCCTTTGAACCATATCATACACAGAGGCTTTGAAATCCACAAGAGTTTGTAAAATGAAATATGTTGTGAATTGTCTACAGAGCAAATCAGGAGCTGCCACATCTTGTATCTCAAATATGAGTGGTAACAGCAGGAATGCTGGCATTCTCCACAAGAAGACTACAGTGAGAAAACAATCTGTGCAGATTAAAGTGTGAAAATAAACTATTAACAATGGTTTAAAACAACTCATTTGTCACGTTTTTTGCCCAGAGTTATGCAACCAGGCAGCTGATCAACTGTGCTGGCAGAACTAATTCCTCCAGGATATTTTAGGTCCCTTTATTTCTTGGTAATTACTGTGTAGATTGGTAGCCAGCTATGAGTAAGAAACTCTTTGGAGGGAACATTCCTTCTGAAGAATGATAAAACTTTACAAATAAAAAGTAATGTGAGTGAGTGTTCTTGATAGTTGCAAGGAAGAGGAGCTCACTCAAGTGAACCTAAGTAAGGAACTTTCTATTTTCAGGAGAAACATGACATGATAAGAGAAATGGTATAGAGAAATCCAAGATTAAGGTCTGTAATACAGCTTGATTTTGTGGGGACTAAGACAGGAAGGGACCGAGTCCAAATCGTTCTAAGAATGTTAGCAGCAGGAGTTCATGACTATTCTCTTTATGAATTCCCCACCAGTGTGGCTGAGCTATTACATGTAGCTTTTCCACTCTTCAATTGTCTTAGCCTTATCCTCCACTTTGAAAATATTCTCCCTACCTTCCAGATGGGGTGTGTGTGTGTTTGTGTGTGTGTGTGTGTGTGTGTGTGTAAAAACAACTTCCTCATAACTTAGGTTTGCCTTAAGTCACCTTAATATTATTTGTGCCTCACTGCCTCCTTTCAGTTTTTTGTTTGTTTGTTTGTTTTTGCAGAAAGGACTGTGGATAAGGTGATTTATGATTAATTTGTCTAATACATTGAGTAAAGTCCACCATATCTGTGAGACATATTTCTTTGTTTTATCATGGAAAACTTAATCTGCTAGACTTAAATGTTAGAGTGAACTGTATAGAAATCACAATTTCTAGTTAAATCACAATTGAAAAGAGCCAACTCTGATTGGGGTGCAAGAGTCCCATAGAAGTATTCAGAGATCTTCAAATAATTTAATTGCTGAATATTTAATTGTTGAATTGTGTCATTTGGAATTGCTATATTTTTATTTTGATTTAATTTCCTTTTTAGTCAGTAGAGCCATTCTTCCATCATTACTGGGCCCACTTTGCTTTCAAAGAAGTGTTATTGGCTGTTGGAAGCAGAATCCTAATTTGTTGAATATTTGATTTGTCATTCTAAACCATATTCACACACGTCTTGGTGGCAGGTCATAAAAATCAAAGTACCAACTTTTTTTTTCTTTTTCTAATTATTCAAAAGGCTCCAATTCTTACACAAATAGATAGACACATACACACACACTTCACCAAGTCAAATTAACCTTAAATTGTAAAAAACCACCCAAAAGCATTTTAAATTATGAACTTATTGTAAAATATTTGTTTCTGATTACATGCATGTAATTACAGAGAATTTTCTATCATTTTATGCGTGGAAATTTATGAAAATAATAAACATCTACTTTTCTTTAAAAAAAACTTCATCTCACTTAAAGTAAATATTTAACCCTTTGTTATAAAATTTTAAAAGTTTGCTCTATCTTTTTTTGTGTGTGAGAGAACTGAGTCTCATTCCACTGCCAAGGCTGGAGTACAGTGGCACGATCTGGGCTCACTGCAACCTCCGCCTCCTGGGTTCAAGCAATTCTCCTGCCTCAGCCTCCCGAGTAGCTGGGACTACAGGTGCATGCCACCATGCACAGCTACTTTTTTGTATTTTTAGTAGAGACGGGGTTTCACCGTGTTAGCCAAGATGGTCTCAGTCTCCTGACCTCATGATATGCCCGCCTCAGCCTCCCAAAGTCCTGGGGTTACAGGCGTGAGCCACTGCACCTGGTCTCTAACATATTTCTTAATGCCAGAGAAAACTTTCATGTTTGGTAAATATATATAGTTGCTTTCTTCAGGCCTTACATTTCTAAGATCTATTTCTAAGTTATTGATGCACATGGAAGGAGCCCTCAAATGATGGTGGAAAGACATGAATATATTTCTCTAAATCATAGTGGCAAGAACAGGATAAGAAAATAAGTCTTAAAATTTAGTAATCAGAAGAAAGTGATTATAGTGTAAGCCAGCCCCTTGATCAATTTATTCCTGATGCTTGGAAAGGGAAAATAAATTTATTGGCTTCCCTTATTTTTAGAATGTATTTATTGGCTATTTTCCAAAAAAAAATATTTTTAGAATAAATTTATTGGCTTCCCTTATTTTTAGAATATATATATATACACACACACACACACACACACACACACATACATACTAGTGATGAAAAACATTTTCTCCTAATGATAAAACTCTCTAGGTTTTTTCAATCATCCTACATAAATAATACTCATAATGGTGCATTTATTTGTTGGTAACATAAGCCATTTATGTCAGAACATTCTTCAGTCCTTTATTTACATAGCAATCACTCACCTTAAGAAACTATGATTCAGGATGATATACACTTTTTGAGGTGAGAAAAAACTTTGTACTTCTCAGTGGTTCTTTAAGGAATTGAAAATAAGGCATCTGGACATGTTTCTAAATGATTAGAATTTCCAAATACTATAACATATTTATTTGAATACAGTTACCTACAAAGATATATGTTGATAAATAATATATAATCTAACGTACTACTAGATTTCTAAACCCTCAAGAACATCAGCTCTCTCATTATGTATGAGACAACTGGAACCCAGAGAAATTCTGATTGCTTCAGTGTTGCAACAGAGCTAGGGCTGGAGGAGGGAATTGTGTCACTTAACTATGCATCACAGGTAGATATTTAATATGCCCTGAAAGGATAAGTACAATGACATATCTCACACATAGCACAATATCTTTTGCCCTGTCTAGTGTTATGAATGTGACAGAATCCAGATAGGTTATGAGCTAGAACCTGATATTGTGTCACCATTGGTTATGCTTGGCACAATGACGTAACAGTCAAAACTCTTCTGGTTACAGGCCAGGCGTGGTGGCTCACGCCTGTAATCCCAGCACTTTGGGAGGCCAAGGCAGGTGGATCACAAGGCCAGGAGATCGAGACCATCCTGACTAACACGGTGAAACCCCGTCTCTACTAAAAGTACAAAAAATTAGCCAGGCGTGGTGGTGGGTCCCTGTAGTTCCAGCTACTCGGGAGGCTGAGGCAGGAGAATGGCCTGAACCCGGGAGGCAGAGCTTGCAGTGAGCCGAGATTGCACCACTGCACTCCAGCCTGGGCAACAGAGTGAGACTCTGTCTCAAAACAAACAAACAAACAAACAAACAAAAGACAAAAAAATAACTCTTCTGGTTGCAACTGAGAAACCCAACTTGAAATAACCAAAATAGGGAATTCATTTAATTTCATGAGAGAATGGCAAGATGCTAAATCCCAGATAGAGCTGACATGCAACCAACACTGTTTTTTCATCTCTCCTCTATCTGTATTGACTTAATTCTGTCTTAATTGGCTGCCTTTCAATAGCAAACTACTTCCCTCCATGTAGTGGAAGCTCCAGTGACTGTCAGACATGCAGGTTTGTTTGTTTGTTTGTTTGTTTCCACTCAAATACTCAAGCAAGTATTGAGACTCAGACTTCCTGGTCTCTGATTGAAAAGTTTCAACCTCAGCTGCCCATTCATGAATCACTGTGAACAGGACAAAGGGGTAATCAAACTGGCCAAGGTTGGGTCAGGTGTCCATACCAAGTTAATAACCACAGCCAGGAAGATAAAACCTATTCAGGAATACAGTGGCTCCTATTCAACTCACATCGTCATTGAATATAGAAGAAACATGTCTCAAACGAAGCAATGAAAAAATAGTTGCTATTTTTTAGAAGACAAGAAACAGATATGAAGTATGGTTGGCAAAGATGTTGAAGGCAAAAATGACAATACCCATTATTTAGACATACGAAAATGATCAGCTAAACCTTTCCAACTCATTAGTCCAGCCAAATTCTCAAGGTTTACTGGACAGGAGTTCTTAACTCCAGCAATGATTATTACTAAAAGTGTCAGACAGAATGGCCATTTGAAATATGCAACAACAGGTATTTCATAGACATTGGCCTATCAGAACAAGACCTTCAGCCAATGAGGAAAAACACTCAGCTCTGCTGGGAGTACCAGCACATACAGGTTGAATATAATTTGCCTTAATGTTAGGGCAAGTTGCCACTGAATACTGTATGTTTGACAGCATGACTCTCTGCATGCCGTTTTTCAGACATTTTAGTCAGTTATACTCTAATCCTCAGAAGGACAAGTCACATGAGAAAAATCAGAGTAAAGAAAGGTCCATTCTTGAATTTTTTTAATGTTCATAAAATCTGCTAAGGAAACTATCAAAATATGAAGTTCATAGCCCTACCTTCAAAAAATATTCATCATCAGGCTTAGAGTTGAACTCTGTTGCCTGAAATTTTAATAAGTTGTCCAGGTTTTTCTGGTGTTTTGGCTCTCTGTTCTGTAAGGTGCTTGGAGAAACACTGCTCTAAATTACGTGCCACTTAGGGAAAAGTATCCTAGCTCTTCAAAAGTAATTGGAATAAATAAGAAAATCAACAACCATAAAGACAAAGAAGGAGAGTAATGTGCTTTCAGCTGGAAGGCTTCTGTTTATGAGAAATTAGGGTAATTTAAGGTCATCTTCTAATGGCACGTAATTCTAAACTAGGGCAGCCACATAAGCCAGGATAGACAGGTCTGGGGAAAGAAACGGAGACACACATTGAGTGTTTCTTGAGCTATATATTCAGCTCCATACTAGGGGCAATCAAAAGATCAAAGAGCTACCTTGACTGAAGAGACAAGCCTGATATTTTGATCTTTGACTGTGTGTCTTATGGGACTGTCTCCCTTCCCTTTCAGCATCAAACTCTGCCTAACAAAAGGAATTTGAAGCTAAACTGCACAAGATTTGAGATACTAAAACTTGCAACTGAAATAAACCATGTAGCCAAGTCAGACAGTCAGTGATTAATGTAGTACATATAGTATGCCTGGACTATTATACTCTGTGATTGAAGTTTCTCAACACAGTGATCTCAAGAAAATAGCTCTGCACATAAGGTCCGAAAATCCCTAATTTTGCAACACTTTTATCAGCAACTTTCAGTAGGACCTTGGGCCAGTTACTTGACCTCTTTGACTCTCAGTTACCTCATTTCTAAAAGAAGAAGGGTAAATTATATCAGCTAAGGCAGTGGGTGGTTCCCAACCATTTTGGCACCAGGGATCAACTTCATGGAGGACAATTTTTTCACAGACACAGAGGGATGGTTTCAGGATGAAACTTTTCCACCTCAGACCATCAGGCTTTAGATTCTCATAAGGATTATGCAGCCTAGCTCCCTTGCATGCACAGTTCACAACAGGGTGCAAACTCCTGTGAGAATCTAATGCTGCCACTGATCTGACAAGAGGTGGAAGTCAGGCAGTAATGCTCACTTACCGGCCTCTCACTTCCTGCTGTGCAGCCTGGTTCCTAACAGGCCACAGACCACTGCAGGTCTGTGGCCTGGAGGGGTGGGGAACCCTGAGCTAGGCTCAACTTTAGCTGTAACACAATAATCCCATGAAATGTAAAGCAAAACGTAACCACTGAATATTATCATTTGTTAAATGGCAAGATGTCTAAAAAGCTTTCTAATATGTCCTTATATCATCACTCTTAGTGTGATGAGAAAATTTTAAAAACCAGTTATAATTTCTTGCAGTATAGCCCAAATTAGGTAAAATAATTTGAAGCCTCTTATTCAACTCTTTTTGTTTTATTTTTAATATATAGTTCAGATATTAGCAACCTCTTGGGGCCAGAAGTGAGGCTTAAGAATGCCTTTGGCCATAATGGAAATTATTTGAGGAACTCCAGAAGGCTGTATCTGGGCAAAATTACCCCCCAAATACTATCAGAAGTACCCATCCTTTGGGTCATTTTTAACGACAATGGCAACAAAAGAATGTCTTCTTTGCAATTTATAAATGTAATCTGGAAGAGAAGAGAGACTATATGGATCTGATCTGACTCATATCAGTCAATAGTGTCATTAACTCTTTGGTATTATTCACAGGCAGATGTAGATTCTGAAGAGCCTAAAATGTCGTACAACCTTGGTACCTTACTTAATAAAAAGAATACTAAAGAATTAATATAAAAGTGGGTTCTACAAATAGTATTATACTTAGAAAGAGAAAAAAATCAAAATGAATTACCGTAGCTTTGGAGGTTGAAGTCCCTTTCTCCTAAGATCTCTTTAGACAATTTACTAGAAATAATTATATAGAAATATTTTCCAAATTTGACCTTCCACTCCAACACCCTATGACACTGAGTAAATGCCAGCACTCACAGGGACTCATGCATATAAGAGGCTTAGGTTTAATAAGCATCATGATAAATCAGGTGTTATTGTGTCATCAGATTAACAGGTAGAAAAGTAACAACAATACCAAATCAATTTTAAGAATAGGCAGGGAAATCGGAAATTAAGTTTGAGGACTGCTTCACAAGAGCATTCATAGGTAGCTTCTAAACAGGATGCCTGGAGTCTTCCTATGGGGCTTACAAGTAAGAGAGCATTAAAGATAAACTTCACATCATTAGAAACATTCGGCTGAGTTTATAGGTATCACCAGCAGACCACATCCTGCTATTCAAGTAGCTAGTAGAGACACCATGGGGAAAAATGCTGACATGAAGAGGAAGTAAAAGAAAGGAACCTGGCAGGTATAGTATGGAGGGGCATGGGGAAATATTTAAGAAGAAGCAGATGAAGCAAACATTATTGATAAAGAGAGAAGAAGTCGTTAAACATTTGTTTTTGGTGACATAATAGTGCTAACCACTCAGTTCACTTGCTATTTATCAGGCTCTTGATGTGCAGCAAATTTTAGACTGGAAAGTAATTGAGGGAGTTAGCCTTTTAGAGTAGGACATTATATTGGTGATAATTCCCTTCTATGTCCTCAGTAAACTGATTAGAAAAATGAAACCCAGAGTTTTCTGATCTGTCAGAGATGGTACAGACTAGACATTCAGTGAAGCCAGGTCTAGAAGCCAAATCTTTGTGATAAAAACTTTAGTGACATTTTTTTCTCCTTTGCCAAAAAATTAAAAAAAAAAACAATAAATACCACAAAGAGCAAAGATAACCTTTCTGTCTTATGTGAGATTAAACATTTTCCATCTAAACTTATCCATATGCTTTCTTCAAAACTTATTTCAAAACCTACATAACAAATAAATAGATAAATATTAAACACATAAAATGGTTTTCTCGCCAAAGGTAGCCCTTTTTTTCCCTTTGCATGTCCAGTGTATATGACCTTCATATCTTAAAGAATTTATCTTACTCTATTTGGATTTCTTCTTCTTTCCTCTCATTCCACATACATATGCAAAATAATTGTACAGAGAACTACATATGCACAAAGATGCATCCATGCTCATATGGCCACAAACATAGACACCCCCAAACACATGCACAGTCTCCTCAGAGAAGCATCTGTGCCAAATCATGGCTGTTTTCTATGTGGTATTTTACACATAGGGGGCTTCTAAAAATTAATTTTAGGAGAAAATTTGCTCCAAGGCTATCTGATGGCACTAGCACCAAAATCCACCAGGCCTCAGCTATTGCATTGTTTTCTAATAGGTGAAAGACCTATCCAGTCTCACTGCTTCATCTACCACCTCTAAATGACTGTAGGTGTTCTCCCCTGTCTAGAACTCATCCTGAGCGTCATTCTCTCATTTTTACTGTGTGGTCAGATACTTTCTTCTGAATATCTTGTAGGTACTTCAAACTCATTACCTCCAAATTGAAGCTCATCAGCATTTCTACTTTAACCGTGTCCTTTTTTCTTTTACTGACATTGCCAAATTCCCCAAGCTGCAAATTATAGTGTTATTATTGACACTGCCCATGCCCTTATTCCTGTACCTCATTGTCTGCCGAGTTTTGCCAATTCAGTTATTAATTGGTTTTTCCCATCTAGTGCCTTTTGTCTGTTTTTATTACTATTATTACAGCTCAGGTCTTTATCTTGTATTACTGAAGTAATGTCATTGATTTATTTGTCTCTGCTCCAGTTTCACTATATACATCTCAGCATAATGCAGCTTCCCTATTCAAAACCACTGTAGCTCCAAAACAGATTAAAGTCTAAATGTTTTACTCTGATAATCAATGCTCTCTATTTTTCAGATTCCATCTGTTTTTTCATTCCATCCATATATTTCCAGATTTATCTAATATCACTTCCCTTCACATATCCAGATGTCAGAAAAATTGATATTCCTATTTCTGGTCACTTCCCATCTCTTTATCATTTTTTTATAGCTCCATTTACTCTCTCCTATCTTTTTTCCACTTATCCAAACCCTCATTATTCTTATGATCTCCTCAAATATGCATGTATTAGTCTGTTTTCACACTGATAAAGAATACTTGAGACTGGGTAACTTATAAAGAAAACAGACTTAATTGACTCACAGTTTCACATGGCTGGGAAGGCCTCAGGAAACTTACAATCATGGCAGAAGGTGAAAGGGAGGCAAGGTACATCTTACATGGCAGCAGGAGAGAGAGAGGGAGCATGGAAAACTGCCACTTTAAAAGTCTCAGATTTCATGAGAACTCCCTCACTATCATGAGGACAGCATGGGGGAAACTGCCCCCATGATTCAGTCATCTTCCACCAGGTCCCTCCTTTGGCATGTGGGGATTACCATTTCAGATGAGATTTTGGTGGGGACACAGAGCCAAACCATATCATTCTACCCCGACCCCTCCCAAATCTCACATTCTTTGCACATTTCAAAACTAATCATACCTTGACTCATTTTAGCATTAATCCAAAACTCCAAGTCCAGTTTATCATTTTTGATTGCGTCTATTTGATTCTTCTCTCTTTTTTTCTTTATTAGTCTTGCTAGCGGTCTATCAATTTTGTTGATCCTTTCAAAAAACCAGCTCCTGGATTCATTAACTTTTTGAAGGGTTTTTTTGGTCTCTATTTCCTTCAGTCCTGCTCTGATTTTAGTTATATCTTGCCTTCTGCTAGCTTTTGAATGTGTTTGCTCTTGCTTTTCTAGTTATTTTAATTGTGATGTTAGGGTGTCAATTTTGGATCAACTACCATCAGAGAATACTACAAACACCTCTATGCAAATAAACTAGAAAATCTAGAAGAAATGGATAAATTCCTCGACACATACACTCTCCCAAGACTAAACCAGGAAGAAGTTGAATCTCTGAATAGACCAACAACAGGAGCTGCAATTGTGGCAATAATCAATAGCTTGCCAACCAAAAAGAGCCCAGGACGAGATGGATTCACAGCCGAATTCTACCAGAGGTACAAGGAGGAACTGGTACCATTTCTTCTGAAATTATTCCAATCAATAGAAAAAGAGGGAATCCTCCCTAACTCACTTTATGAGGCCAGCATCATCCTGAGACCAAAGCCGGGCAGAGACACAACCAACAAAGACAATTTTAGACCAATATCCTTGATGAACATTGATGCAAAAATCCTCAATAAAATACTGGCAAACCGAATCCAGCAGCACATCAAAAAGCTTATCCACCATGATCAAGTGGGCTTCATCCCTGGGATGCAAGGCTGATTCAATATACGCATATCAATAAATGTAATCCAGCATATAAACAGAACCAAAGACAAAAACCACATGATTATCTCAATAGATACAGAAAAGGCCTTTGACAAAATTCAACAATCTTCATGCTAAAAACTCTCAATAAATTAGGGATTGATGGGACGTATCTCAAAATGATAAGAGCTATCTATGACAAACCCACAGCCAATATCATACTGAATGGGCAAAAACTGGAAGCATTCCCATTGAAAACGGGCACAAGACAGGGATGCCCTCTCTCACCACTCCTATTCAACAGAGTGTTGGAAGTTCTGGGCAGGGCAATCAGGCAGGAGAAGGGAATAAAGGGTCTTCAATTAGGAAAAGAGGAAGTCAAATTGTCCCTGTTTGCAGACGACATGATTGCACATCCAGAAAACCCCATCATCTCAGCCCAAAACCTCCTCAAGCTGATAAGCAACTTCAGCAAAGTCTCAGGATACAAAATCAATGTACAAAAATCACAAGCATTCTTCTACACCAATAACAGACAAACAGAGAGCCAAATCATGAGTGAACTCCCATTCACAATTGCTTCAAAGAGAATAAAATACCTAGGAATCCAACTTACAAGGGATGTGAAGGACCTCTTCAAGGAGAACTACAAACCACTGCTCAATGAAATAAAAGAGGATACAAACAAATGGAAGAACATTCCTTGCTCATGGGTAGGAAGAATCAATATCGTGAAAATGGCCATACTGCCCAAGGTAATTTACAGATTCAATGCCATCCCCATCAAGCTACCAATGACTTTCTTCACAGAATTGGAAAAAACTACTTTGAAGTTCATATGGAACCAAAAAAGAGCCCGCATCACCAAGTCAATCCTAAGCCAAAAGAACAAAGCTGGAGGCATCACGCTACCTGACTTCAAAATATACTACAAGGCTACAGTAACCAAAATAGCCTGGTACTGGTACCAAAACAGAGATATAGACCAATGGAACAGAACAGAGCCCTCAGAAATAATGCCGCATATCTACAGCTATCTGATCTTTGACAAACCTGACAAAAACAAGCAATGGGGAAAGGATTCCCTATTTAATAAATGGTGCTGGGAAAACTGGCTAGCCATATGTAGAAAGCTGAAACTGGATCCCTTCCTTACACCTTATACAAAAATTAATTCAAGATGGAATAAATACTTAAACGTTAGACCTAAAACCATAAAAACCCTAGAAGAAAACCTAGGCAATACCATTCAGGACACAGGCATGGGCAAGGACTTCATGTCTAAAACACCAAAAGCAATGGCAACAAAAGCCAAAATTGACAAATGGGATCTAATTAAACTAAAGAGCTTCTGCACAGCAAAAGAAACTACCATCAGAGTGAACAGGCAACCAATAAAATGGGAGAAAATTTTCACAACCTACTCATCTGACAAAGGGCTAATATCCAGAATCTACAATGAACTCCAACAAATTTACAAGAAAAAAACAAAGAACCCCATCAAAAAGTGGGCGAAGGACATGAACAGACACTTCTCAAAAGAAGACATTTATGCAGCCAAAGGACACATGCAAAAATGCTCATCATCACTGGCCATCAGAGAAATGCAAATCAAAACCACAATGAGATACCATCTCACACCAGTTAGAATGGCGATCATTAAAAAGTCAGGAAACAACAGGTGCTGGAGAGGATGTGGAGAAACAGGAACACTTTTACACTCTTAGTGGGACTGTAAACTAGTTCAACCATTGTGGAAGTCAGTGTGGCGATTCCTCAGGGATCCAGAACTAGAAATACCATTTGACCCAGCCATCCCATTACTGGGTATATACCCAAAGGACTATAAATCATGCTGCTGTAAAGACACATGCACACGTATGTTTATTGCAGCACTATTCACAATAGCAAAGACTTGGAACCAACCCAAATGTCCAACAATGATAGACTGGATTAAGAAAATGTGGCACATATACACCATGGAATACTACGCAGCCATAAAAAATGATGAGTTCATGTCCTTTGTAGGGACATGGATGAAATTGGAAATCATCATTCTCAGTAAACTGTCGCAAGGCCAAAAAACCAAACACTGCATGTTCTCACTCATAGATAGGAACTGAACAATGAGAACACATGGACACAGGAAGGGGAACATCACACTCTGGGGACTGTTGTGGGGTGTGGGGAGCGGGGAGGGATAACATTAGGAGATATACCTAATGCTAAATGATGAGTTAATGGGTGCAGCACACCAGCATGGCACATGTGTACATATGTAACTAACCTGCACATTGTGCACATGTATCCTAAAACTTAAAGTATAATAATAATAAAAATAAATAAATAAATAAATAAAAAGTCCAAGTCCAAAGTCTCATTTGAGACAAGAATAGTCCTTTCCACCTATGAGCCTGTAAAATAAAAAACAAGTTAGTTACTTCCAAGATACAGGCATTGGGTAAATGTTCCCATTCCAAATGGGAGAAATTGGCCAAAACAAAGAGGCCACAGGCCACATGCACATACAAAACCCAGCAAGGCAGTTATTAAATCTTAAAGCACCAAAATAGTCTCCTTGACTCCATGTCTCACATGTAGGGCATGATGATAGAAGGCATACGCTCCCAAGGACTTGGGCAGCTCTGCCCCTGTGGTTCTGCAGGGCACAGCACCTCTGGCTCTTTCATGGGCTGCCGTTGAGTGCCTATGGCTTTTCTGGGTGCTCAGTGCAAGCTGTGGATCCACCATTCTGGGGTCTGGAGGATGGTGGCCATATTCTTACAGCTCCAGTAAACAATACCCCAGTGGGGACACTGTGTGGAGGCTCCAACCCCGCCATTCCCCTCTGCATTGCCCTAGTAGAGGTTCTCCATTAGGGATCTTTCCCTGCAGCAAACTTCTGCCTGGACATCTAGGTGTTTCCATACACCCTTGAAATCTAGGAAGAGGTTGCCAAACCTGAACTCTTGCCTTCTGCACATATGTAGGCCCAACACCACATGGAATTTGCCAAGGCTTGGGGCTTGCACCTCTGAAGCAATGGCCTGAGCTGTATGTTGACCCCTTTTAGCCATGGCTGGAGTTGGAGCAGCTAGAACACGAGACACCATGTCTCGAGGCTGCACGGAGAAGTGGGGCCCCAGGCTGGCCATGGAACCATTTTTCCCTCCTAGGCGTCCAGGCCTGTGATGAGAGGGGCTGCTATGAAGATCTCTGAAATTCCATGGAGACATTTTTCCCATTGTCTTCACTATTAACACTCAGCTCCTCGTTACTTATGCAAATTTCTGCAGCCGGGTTTAATTTCTCAACAGAAAATGGGGTTTTTCTTTTCTACCACATGAAAAGGACTCAGAAAACTTACAATTATGATGGAAGGAGAAGGAGAAGCAAGGCATGTCTTACGTGGTGGCAGAAGAGACGAGAGAGAACAGGGAAACTGCCACTTTTAAAACCATGAAATTTTGTGAGAACTCTCTTACTATCACGAGAACAGCATGGGGGAATCTACCTCCATGATCCAGTCACCTCCTACCACGTGCCTCTCGACATACGCAGATTACAATTTGAGATGTGATTTTAGTGGGGACACAGAGCCAAACCATATTGGTGCATAATACTTAATACCTCATTCATGGCAATGATCACTTCTTATCTTTCATTACAGTAATTTGATAGATAGCTTTTCTCCCATACTTGAGTGTACAGTATGTTGTTTCTCTCTTTAAGAATATAGTTGCTGAGTGCTTGAGAGCACAACTGATTAATCTTTTGTTACTCCCACAATATTTGGCAAAATGCCGTGCATATTATAGATATTCAATAAATATTTGACTTTATAAATGAATATTTATTTGGCAATAAGAAAATTTTGATAACTTTTCTTATTTAAAATGGGAAATAGTCATAGTTTTTTTAGAACAATTAGTAACTGTACTACTAATGTTGATTAACAATTTCAATAATTATTAGTTTAAATGATAATGAACATGCATGTAATCTAGTCCTCAGGGGAAGACTAGGATTTCATCAAAATGATAGAGCCTAAGTGTACTACTTATTTCAATACATCGAAAAATTTAACAGTCATCAAACAGACATTAACAACCAAACCACAGTGATTTTCAATGTAACATCTCCAGGATTAAGAAACAAATTGTAACATTCATTTGATGCTTAAAGACTATTCTTTCTTTCTAAGGTGTGATGGGAGAATATGAGCCGAAAATTGAGGTCCATTTTCCTTTCACGGTTACAGCTGCTAAAGGAACAACTGTTAAGATGGAATGCTTTGCACTTGGCAAGTAAGTACATGTTCTTCCATAATTAAACACAATTTTTTATTAAAATGTGACATATCTTATTTTTGGATCACTTATTTTGCTAGGTGTCATTTCCCCAGTTGTTCCATGGTGGCTATTTATTTTCTAAAAGAAGGTCAAATGGCAATTGATGAAGTAATCAGTTACAGTTATCTTCTAGTCATTTCTATGGACAACAGTTTCTATAATTTTGCTATTTTAACATAAAAAAACTTCTTTAATGAATAAAAAGCTTTACATCTTTACCTATGTATCTTAAAATTTAAGTGTCATCTTTAAATTTCATTCAGTCCTTATGTAAATAAAGAAGATAGAAAGGCAAAGTACTATCTGCTCCTCATGTATAGGATGTAGATTCTTATAAGACATAATAAGACAGCAGATAAAAATCATGAGGATAATAGTTACATAGTGATCCTGTGTATTACCTTAGTATCTCCTGAAATCATAACTTAATAGCACCAGCTGTCAATATGTACAACATGTAATCATTTCCCAAATGAGAGAAAGAATTTATGTCACATGCTAATGCCTGCCATATTTAATGATTATATTTCTGAGGGTTTACAGCCCAGGATATATAGTCACTTGTCAATGATGTTTACAGTATAGGTATTGAGATCAGAGGCAGAAGTGGAATTTTGATTATATTTGATTATTGTATTATGATTTATTTTAAACAGAGTGTTGTTTTCTTTTTTTTTAGGATGCTAAGACTTCAGGGTTCTTTCTAGACACTATAATTTGCATAAATGTATCTCTGTCAGAGTTACTAATTACTTAACTTCAGTTGCAGAGAGCAAACTCCCACAATATAACTATAAAGTACTCGGAGATAAAGCCAGATACACAAGTGTGATTATTAAAGTAGGTTTAGCCTTTGGGTAAGGAAAATATTAGTAAATATGACAAAAAATCAGCTAGCTAAGGTAGATTTAAGGAACGAACATAGTAAACACCGTGTTTTAATATCAAGAATGATTAAAATAAGACATATATGCAATTCTACTTTAAGTAGAAACAACATCATAATAGACTATAAGCAAAATGAATTGTTATGTGACCCATCTTTTAAGCAAAAGATAGCCAGAAGTAGAAATAAATTTCAAAATGTAAAATGTATCTAGGAGGTATTTGGGCAGATATCTGAGGAAGCCTCCTAAACCTAAAGATGTTAGTTAAGCGCATAAGATTGAATAATAGTTAAAAGTCTGGTTTGTCACCATTTGCTGTTCTGTGTCAAATAGGTCTGAAAATGTCCCAAGTAAGAAGCTCAATACTGACAAATGCAAAAATAATATATTCTGGCTTGAAGACAAGGGTTTTAGTGTATCCTGTAGTTAAATAATTCTTCAGTGCCAGAATTTATACTAAGGCCACAAACAAAGGGAGGTCATATTGTAAAACAAATTAGAAAACTAGACTTATAGGAAAAAACCAATATAAATATTTCCCCAGGCAAGCTTATTTAATAAGTTAGATGTGGTTGCCTTTGGAAGCCTTGAAATATGTTTAGTAAATTGAGGCTTACAGTCTCTTTCATTCTAGGTAAGACCCAACAGTCAAATCACTAAATCACTTATGTTCTTTTAATATGTTATTTTCTTCAACCTTTCTACTCCTTCTTTGCTACCCAACTCTCAAAAGTAAATACATAAAAGGGAGTGTAAAGAAGACTGCTTCACTCAAGAAGGTCTCTGTTTATCACTTGGTGTCCTTTCTAAGAAATGTCACAATTATGGAAAAAAGAAACATCTTATGAAGATGTCTACCCTCTACCTAAAGACCAATCTGCCACCCTTATGAAAATAAACAAGATCAAAGAAATAACATCTTGACATGTGTTCATCCTTTTACAGCACATTGTCTTGTGGTGTGGATCACCATTTCATCCCAACATAATCACAGCAATTGCAAATTAATTCCTGAGCATCCGCGTGGCTCCCACAGCTCACTTGAGCTGCTTCTTACTTCAGCAAGCACATGGTGCTCTTGTGGGCCTTTGTCTGTTGCAAAAACTTCAGTATCTGTCACTGGATATCGTCAGGATCTTACCACTCAGGCTGTTTTCCCCCTCACTGTGTCCTAACCAAACATTCCTTGTAGAGTGTTATAACCAAATTCTGGAATGGAGCATGTCAAACTTTTTTTTTGTCTTGTGGCCTTTGCACTTGCTGTTTCTTACACTGGGATCTCTCTCCCCCTGTTCTTTCCATGGGGGCTCTCATTCATCCTCTGGCCTCAATTTCAATATCACTCCTGAAATAGGCTATCTATGAATGTACATGTTATCTAACTCACACCCATTATTCTCTGTCTGTATACTTTTTAATCCCTTTTTTACAGTCCTTAACACAATTTTAAATTTCCCACATACGTGTTTCTCCACTTAAAACATTTATCTGTGTCAGGATCCCAGATGTAATCAGGATCCAACTCAGACATTTCAATAGAATTTAGTAAAGTGATGAGCTGAAGATCTGTGAGCAGGCTAAGAAGAACAAGAAAAACCAAGACATGTATAAACTCCTGATAGCAATGACTCATTGTCATGTGTAATCCTGAAGGAGCAAGTGGGAGGAGATGGTGTTTCCAGAACCAGGGAAAACTGGAGATATGAAGTGGGCCAGGGATCAACCAATGGGAGCTGTAATGACTGTTGCTGTGAAGAGACACAGCCTTTATATAAGAACACAGCTGAAGAAAGGATTAGGAAATTTATATCCTGACTTCTTTTTCCTCTTGCCTTCTCATCTCCTCTGGTGGCTCTCATGGCTGAAGTCAAACAGAAGCCACTCTACAAGCCTGCGGATGCAATTGTCAGTTCACAAGGCAAGGCAGAGGGTCTGCAGGGAACAAGAAGGTGACAGGCAAGGGAGGAAAACAGAATAGCCAGCACTTTCCCCACTCTTAGGCTTTAATCCCCAAGAAGGCAGGAATCATTACTGTATTCTTCATTTACTTATTCCTAGTGCCTACCACAGCACCTGGCACATAGCATTCAGGAAATAGGAATGAATGAACTTAAAAATATTCCATCTACTTAATCCAATCAACTCTTTATTATTAACAGTTAATCAAAAATAAATAAGTTATTTATGCCTTATCCTGTCCCCCCCACAAATACATCATGTATACTCTGCACCTGTATCTCCTGCTCTCCCGTATTCTCTTATTTATATCCAAAATTACATGCTATACTTGCCTCTACCTTTTCCTACCTATTCTTGCCTCACTCTATCATTTATCTTTGTTAACTTAGACCTACCATTCTCCAACTCTCTTTTTTATTTTTGTGGTAAGAACACTTATCATGACATCTACCTTCTTAATGAGCTTTTAAGTGCACAATACAATATTGCTGACTATAGGTACTAGGTTGGCAACAGCAAATCTCTAGAACTTATTTAATTTGTATAACTGAAACTTTATTTTTATTTTATTCTCAAAGCATATTTTCATGTCCAAGTTGTACTTACTGTTTAACATGACAACCCCAAAAAACTTTCTTGATCTACTGCCTCTTAAGAAGGATTTGTTTGTTGCCTTTTTTGAGGCTAAGGATAAGAGAGATTTATCATATCTATAGAAGCTAGGGCAAAGGATGGAGTGAAAAATATTTATATATCACAAAGTGTAATATTTTATATAATAATGGTTTGAGGGACAAACAAAGAAGATCATAAGTACAAAATCTTGCTATTTTCAACTTTACCTGTTCCCAGCCTTAGCGGAGTAATTCACATTTCCTACCATAAATCACTATTTTTTATCATGTTATTCATTGAACCAAATATGTTCCTAGATATACAGTCATTCCTTGGAGATATTTGAGGTTCAGTTCCAGATGCCACAATAAAGCAAATTTCACAATGAAGAAAGTCACATGAATTTTTTGGTTTTCCAGAGCACACAGAAGTTATGTTTACATTATATTGTATGTTATTAAGTAGGCAGTAGCATTTACATGCCTGGCTTACATACATACAACAATTTACACACGTTGATTTAAAAATATTTTACTGCTAAAAATTGCTCATGCTGATATAAGTCTTCAGCAAATTATCATCTTTTTGCTGATGACTGATGCTATTGACTGATAAGGGTGGTGGCTGCTAAAGGTTGGGGTGGCTGTGGCAATTTATTAAAAGAAGACAACAATAAGGTTTGTCACATTGATTGACTCTGTAGCTTATGATGCTGTTAGATAGCATTTTACCCACAGTAGAACTTCTTTCAAAATTGGAGTCAATCCTCTCTAACTCTGCCACCACTTTGTCAACCAAGTAGATGTAATGGTCCAGATCCTTTGTTGTCATTTCAACAATGTCCACAGCATCTTTTCCAGGACTACACTAACTCAAGAAACCCCTTTCTTTGCTCATCCATAAGAAGCAACTCTTCATTCAACTTTTATCGTGAGATTGCAGCAATTCAGTCACATCTTCCTGTTCCACTTCTAGTTCTTGTTATCTTGCTGTTTTCATCACATCTGCATTTACTTTCCCCACTAAAGTTTTGAACCCCTCCAAGTTATCCATGAGGGTTAGAACCACTTCTTCCAAATTCCTATTAATATTTTGACCTTCCATGAATCACAGCTGTTCTTAATGGTATATAGAATGGCGAATCCTCTCTAGAAGGTTTACAATTTACTTTGCTCAGATCTATCAGTGGAATAATTACCTATGGAATCTCTACCCTTATAAAATGTATTTTGTAATTCATTCTTAAGTCATTGGATTTGAAATTTGAAAATTACTCCTTGATCCATGGGCTACAAAATTGATTTTGTGTTAGCAGGCATGAAAATAACATTAATATTGCTCATCTACATCAGAACTCTTGGGTAATGAGATGCATTGTCAATGGACAGTAGTATTTCTCTTCGCTAATGAGATGCATTGTCAATGGACAGTATTATTTTGAAAGGAGTCTTTTTTTCTGAGCTGTAGGTCTCAACAGTGGGCTTAAAATATTTAGTAAACCATGCTGTAAACATGCAGTGTCACCAGGCTTTGTTGTTCCATTTCAAGAACACAGAGTAGATTTAACATAATTCTTAAGGGCCCTATGATTTTCAAATTGGTAAATGAGCATTGGCTTCAGATTCAACGTCACCAGCTGCATTAGCCCCTAACAAGAAAGTTAGCCTGTCCTTTGAAGTTTTGAAACCAGACACTGACTTGTTTTTAGCTATGAAAGTCCTAGGTTGCATCTTCTTTCAAAATAAGGCTGTTTTGTCTACATTGAAAATCTGTTGTTTAGTGTAGCCATTTCCATCAATTATCTTAGATAGATTTTCTGAATAACTAGCTGAAGTTTTCACATCAGCACTTGCTACTTCACCTTCCACTTTAATGTTATAAAGATAGCTTCTTTCCTTAAACCTTATAAACCAGCCTCTGCTAGGTTCAAACTTTTCTCTTGCAGCTTCCTCACCTCTGTCAGCCTTCATAGAATTGAAGACATTTAGGGCCTTTCTGTGAGTTAGGTTTTGGCTTCAGGGAATGTTGTGGCTGGTTTGATCTACCCAGACCATTAAAACTTTCTTTCTATCAGCAATAAGCCTGTTTTGCTTTCTTATCATTTGTGTTTTCACTGGGGTAGCAATTTTAATTTCCTTCAAAAACTTTTTTTTTTTCATTCACAAGTCGGCTAACTGAGCACAGGCCTAGCTTTCAGTCTGTCTTGGTTTTTGACTTGCCTTCCTCACTAAGCTTAATTTCTAGCCTTTGATTTAAACTGACAGATGTGCTGCTCTTCCTTTCACTTGAACACTTAGAAACCATTGTAGGGTTATTAATTGGCTTAATTTTAATATTATTGTGTCTCAGGGAATAAGAAATCCTGAAGAGAGGGAGAGAGATGAGGGAGTGGCCAGTTGATGGAACAGTCAGAACACATACATTTATTATTTTAGTTTGCTGTCTTCTATGGGCATAGTTCATGGAGCTTCAAAACAGTTACAATAATAACATTGAAAGATGACTAATCACAGATCATTATAACAGACATAATAAAAAATTGAGATGCTCCAAGAATTTCCAAAATGGGACACAGTGATAATAAGTGAAAGCAGGCTATTAGAAAAATTGTGCCAGTAGATTTGCTTGACATAGCATTGCCACAGACCTTCAATTTGTGAAAAACACAGTGTCTGCAAAACACAATAAAGTGAAGTGCAATAAAATAATGTGTGCCAGTACCTTCTGTCTTAAGAAAAAATAATTCACTTATTAATTCAGAGGTGTCAAAATATAAGAGTTGGGCTTTGTGTAGCTCATTTCATAAATATAGTAGACTAAAGTACCTCAAAGAACCTAGAACCAAATGCAGGTCTGCAAGCTCTGAAAGCCAACTATGTTCTAGGGACTGTCATATCTTCCAGGATTTCCATAGTCTCTGTTCTCAAAGAAATTGCATTATATCTTCAAATATTTTGCTGAATGTAATATTACACCTTGAGTCCATTCTTAATCATTATGTAAACATACACTATGGACCTTGACCAAGCTGTCCTCTAATAGCCAACCTTTATCTCCACAGAAATTCACTATTCGCCTTTTTGGTTCCAAGTTTAAACTAAGACTTAACAACCTAACAGCAAATTTTCTTCTTTTGAACTCTCTTTGGCCCTTGACATGATCTAATGAATCTTCGATAAGCCAAATTAGGAAATTTCTTTGATTTTTAAAGAATCATACATTCAAACCGTGTTAGAATACTGGTTCATTGTGATTTCTCTTGGAAAGTACAGTTACCTTTTTATGATCTGTCCTTAATGGTGTTCAGTTTTTGTTACTTAGAGCGTGCATATTAGTGCAGCTATAATGCACAGATAATTTTTCCATATATAAGCTTATATCTTTCCCATATTCTTTAAGAAAAAAGAAAACAAATAATTGTAGGTTATCAAATTTTACTATATTTTGATATCACCCAAATTTACCAACCTGCCTCATTTGAAGTTAGGTAAAAAGTCTACTAAAAAGCCATAAGCTGCAAGCTTTCTCCTAAAGAAACCTCTACTTAAATCTGAATTTAGCGAAAATTCAGATGTTTTCTCTACAGGCTGCTGGAGCAGAACTCAACAAGAGTGTACTAGTTTACTCCTAGAAATAGCTCTTAAAATAGAATTGCACAAGGTTGAGTACAGAACTTTTAAAGTGACCGTGACATGCTATATCATGCTATACTGTCTGTAAAGGTATTTCCCCAGAAAAATGGGAAGTGTTTCAAGAGAACCCATAGGGAAACAAAGGTATGTAAAGGCTTGGGTAACACAGCAAAGTGTAAAAAAAAAAATGGAGGGGGATTAATTAGTTGGAAAGAAAAGACTGGTTTAGACATATGGAAGGTTATTATCAAGAGATTGCTCACAAGCTGTTCTCCAGTTTCAACAAGGGAGGGAGTGAAATTCCAACAGTATGGGATTAAACTAGAAGAATTAGATTGGGTGTAATGTAGAAGTTCATGAAAAAATGAGTTGTTACAGGGAAACTGGGTTATCAGGAGAGGCAGTGGAAGCTCTTTGCCTGAACTGCTGTAAGAATATAATAATGCCCATTTGTCTTCTAATGGTTTAGATGTAATGTTCCCTGAAAGGAGAGAAATGATCTGGGTCAGGATTGGAAACGAAAATTTAAATATTTTCTTTTGCTGGCTGCCCATCCACACATTCTCAGGCTGAATATTAAGAGTAGAAGGATAGAATCAGGCAGACTTAATTAACTGCCTTTTGGCAGTGACATTATTACATAACATTTCAAACCGGTTGGTGGCATATCCAGGAAGTAGAAATGATGAGTGTTGACTTTTCTTGCTCAGCATTCAATCTAGGGACCTTAATGGAAATGGGGTTATTGTGGATATTTCCAAGGTCGGCTTTTAAACATCAGGTACAATACTCTTGAAAGGGATTGAGAGATAAAGGGGTCAAGGGACAATGCAAGCAAGGAATCCCTTAGGACCCTAATAAATATTTCATTTCAGTGGTTCTTTCTAAATGCAGTATATAATTAAACATTGGTGATGTTTTCAACTGGGTGTGCTCAGTGTTTAAGTCCAGCCCATACAAGTTGTTAACTAAGTAACACAGGGTAAAAATGAGAACTTTATGGAAAGTCAGTAACTACAGAAAGCAGCTACCATCTCTAGAGGTAAGGGGGGAAAAAAAGAATTAGAATTAATAAAAATTAGAACCTCAGATGTACCCCTAGGACCAAGAATTCTGAGGAATGGACGAAGTGGGACACAATGAAGCCTCTCCTGAAAGTGTTGGGAAAAAACTTGAACTGTATTTTATTGCTGCTAAGGGAAGGATTCCCTGCTGAGGTGCCATTCAGGGGCTATCGAGCTGACAGGAAGCCCCTGGGAAGCCCACAGGAAATAAACAACGATGGTGTTCCTTCTGGCTTCTTCAGCCTTGCAATCTCCCTACAGTGCCCCCTCCTGGCAGTGTAGAAATGTGGTTTTCAGAACCCTTGCCCCAGTACCACAAAGCCTAGTAGAGGATGGAGCTGAGAGGTGGTCATTTAAACAGTAGCACCAATTCCACTTGACATTTTCAAACCCATCTCTTAATCAACTGCACCCCTTACTATACCTCAGCCATCCTGGCTTTGCCACATCTGTGGCTCTGTGACACAGTTTCCTCTGTCTAAAATATCTATCCTGCCCCACAATCCTATTCAGTAAGGCTTACGTCAAATGCCCCTCCTCCATTAATCCTCCCTGCTTTTCTTGAGCTCCAGTCTCTTACCTTTCAGTGTGACCACCTACATTTCACTATTTAGCCTGCCCCACTGGAACAGCTATAGATATCTGTCTTCTTTAGTGTGCTGAATTTTGGGATCCCTAGAGCATTATTAGATGCAGCAGGTGCTGAATATGTACACTGAATGAATTCAGGTATGAGAAATGTGATTGATCTTTCATAACAGGAGGTGTGTTACTGCCTTTGGTTTGGCCAGACAGATGTCTCCAGATGCTTTCACATGTTTTGGCCTTGAAAATTCTTACCACATTTACATTAGCTATAGTTTTCTGGCAAGTTTCATTTCACCGTGTGACCTTTTACAGACCCTAGAAAGAGCACTAGATATGTCAACTAGCCTCCAACAGAAACAGAAGTAAAATCTGGTCACTGATGCTTAAATGACCCAATACACAAGGGCAAACAGGGTTACTCTGTAATAAAAAAGCCAAACGCTACAAAACAACATCAGTTTATCCATAATGACAGGCCTGCCAGCTAATAGTGTTACAGGCAGATTTTCTCTTTTTTTCTCTCTTTTTAAAAAATTTTACATGTTTCTTATCTTGCTCTTGCAGCCATTAACACACAATCAGATCTGCTCTGCTCAAAAGGCCTTGAACCTGTTACTGTAATAATTATGTGAATGACCTTTGCAAACTCATCTGAAATCTTGTGGTGAGGTGGGAGGGAAGAACACATTCAATTTCCTGCCCTTTTTAGTTCCTGCTTATCTCTCTTTCAGATACCATTTACAAATAGTCTTTTGTTACACTCCATCAAATGCCTATTAGGGAACCAGGGTATTAAGTATTTTTTTCTCTTTTTATATGTTTACTGTAAATAAAAAGCCACTAGTTATCAATTCATAAAATTATTTTTGCTGTAGTTTATGTTTTCCTTTCCTCACCCCTTAGCTAAGCTGTCTCAAATGGCTGCTCTTGTGTCCCATTGTAACTGTGAGAATGACAAATATTCCTCTGAGACTTCCTACAGTGTGCAACTGGCAAACGTTCCTGGAAGAACCTGCTCTTTAGTTACAGATTGATGATTTATTAATACTGTTTATTTGGAGCTGCCAGTCACTAAGGGCTGTAGGAATTAAAAATGAATTGGAGTTATGTGGTATTTGTCTATCAAACTAAAATCAAATTACTTAATCATTAGGTTGACAGAAGATCTGGGGATAGGAGTCAGTCTCTGGGTGTTGGAATCAATAAACATTTAGGCCTCACAGGAAAGTGGTGCATTACAGAATCAAGAAAATTGCCATCATGAACTATTGCTTGCTTTAGTATGGTTGAGATGAAGGACACATCCTCATTTCAGATGGTACCCAGAGGTGATGGATCCTAAAAGAACCTTAAGGATTGCATGACCTAACAAACGTGAATTTGTAAATGGAAAACTGAGACTTCTCAAGGAATGGCTAGACGTGTGGATGTACCGCTCAGGCTAATGTTTTGATGCAACTTCCTGTGATGTTCTTGACGTGTTCAACATTCTTTCATAGGGCAAACTTTGAAGGAAATATTTAATTTACTTATAGGCTTTTACACTGAGAGGTGTTATGTGTTTTCAGGGAAACAGGACCAATTTATTATTCACATTTAGAGTCAAAGTTAACTGGCATCATATTTCCAGCTTTTCCACGGCTGCCCTAGAACTAGTTAACCTGCCTCAGGAGAGAAACTGTATACATGTGCAAGGCCAAACAGCTAATGTGTGTGGCCTATAGAGGCAGAACTAGATACCCTGATGCTAATTAATAGTATTCTCAGTTTACAGTTTTTCAGTTGCTAAGAGTAATTTTTACTTTGTCACAGCAAACATTATATTCTGAATGCCCTGAAGCATCTCAGTGAGTGAGAATTAGGAATCTTAATAGGCAAGACAAGTTAACAAGAACATGAAGCAAAAGATAATCCCCAAATTGTAAGATTTTTACTTGGATTAGTTTAGACTTATCCAACAGCTTTCTTTTAAGTTAATCTCCCAGGAATTTCCATGGAAAAGTTTCTTCCTCTGGGATGATCGTAAGATCAGCAACTATCTGGATGCTGAGATTCAAAAACAGGATGTAAAGAATTACTTTATTAAAAGAATGAAGTTATGCCTTTTGCAGCAACATGTACATAACTGAAAGCCATTATCCTGAGTGAAACAACTCAGAAACAAAGAGAAATACCACATGTTCTCACTTACAAATGGGAGCCAAATAATGTGTACACATGGGCATATGCTGTGGAGTAATAGTCAATGGAGACTCAGAAGTGTGGGAGGGTGGGAAACGGGTGACAGATGAGAAATTACTTAATGGGTATAAGGTACATTAGTCAGTTAATGATTACACTAAAAGCCCAGACTTCACCACTACACAATATAGCCATGTAACCAAACTGCACTTGTACCCCATAAACTTATACAAATAATAAAAAAGACTTAGTATATCCATCAGAAGTTTCTAACTTTATTGTATCCCATACCCCTACAAGAATCACCAGGTACATAATCTTGACACTTGAATAGGACATCAGTGGAACAAAAAAGGACAATTTTAACCAAAAAGTTGTCAACAATCTGAGTATATGTAAAACTAAACTTCTACCTTGTCCTGGATGGTTTCCATATCACACTCAGATTCCAACAACATCTCTGACATGTTATCTCACTGGATTACAAACAGGAATGAATTTAGGCAAATTATGTATCCCATTTGACCTGTTTCCTTATTTTGAACTCTCACAGTCTTGGATTTCTAAAAGTGTTATATCATCATCATCCACAAATTCCCACTGAGTATTCTACTAGAAATTGAAATGTTTCCCTAACAGTTATCTCTTCTAATGGTGATTTAACAACTATATTGCTACTTTTAAAGCCGATTTATCTAACAATAAACTTGCTTGAATATCTTTGTTTGAGATCTCATTCTATCTCATATGTTTTATGACAATACTCAATTTTTAAATCTATCATAGTACATGTATTCTTAAAAGTAGTATGTGTCTTACTGAATCACTGTACTTTGAACTAAGCATGCTCGTCATGTGTCTAATATAGTCATATTTGTATTAGTTAAGCTAAGAGAACAACAAACTTCTCCACTAGAGAAAGATCAATTTAGAACTTCAAGAAGGTTTTCATATGCAGTTCTTAGAATGATTTCATGGTAACTTGGAAATTAGGTACCAAGTGTCAGTAATGTGCATGCCATTAGAATTTCATGCATTCAAAAATTTTGTATTTATTATTTCAATAACTTTGAAAATTTGAATATGTGATGATCTAGTGTGAATTACTAATGTTATATATACCACATTTGATGCAGCCCTCTGCATAACAGCAGTATCTCTAACTCACCTCAAACCATTGGCATCATTATCGACCTCTGCCAAATCTTCCATCCCAATCTGCCAGACATTTAAAACCTCTCAAGTCCCCCCTCTCCATTTTATTCTATTTTTCACAAACATAGTTCAAATCTATTATTATTGGACAAATTTGGCTCTCTTACCTCTGCTGCAAATAAGACTAGAGATGTTGTTGTCCCAGCTACTCAGGAGGCTGAGGCAAGAGAATCGCTTGAACCTGGGAGGCGGAGGTTGCAGTAAGCCGAGATTGCGCCACTGCACTCCAGCCTGTCTAAAGAGTGAGACTCCGTCTCAAAAAAAAATAATAATAAATTAAAAATTAAAAATACATAGATTTTTATTGATGCTTCATTAGCTTTGGGAATTTCTCCAAGTGCTGCTTTCATAGGCCCTGCTCCATTCACTTTATCTGTTTGGTTGTCTATTGTTCCCCGGACCTTATTCCTGGTTTCCAAATCACTCCTATCTCATATACTCTGATGTTATTTTGGACTTTTTATTTGATTGTTGACTCCAACTGCACCTCTTAATTTAGCCTATTTGATGTTCTTCAATACCTTGGTCCACAGCATGTGGGATCAGGCTGGGTTTCTAGAACTCCAAACCAAGCACAACTCTCCACACTCACCCATCATCAGCCTACATAAGGAGTTTTTATTATCACTACGGGTGACCATTTAGGCGTTTTCCAAAGGTATAAAATTTTAAATATCTTTGACTCTTTCTTCCTTTTTATCATCATCTGTTTGATTACCATAAATGTCTCTTAAATTGATTACCACTGACTTGGTGCATAATGAACATTTGTTAACTGAATTAAGTCATTTATCAATGTAATAGGTATATATATGTACTCAAGGGGAAGCACGAATAAACCAATATATTAAAAAACGTATAAGCCTGAGACTAAACATGTCTAGGCATTTAGATTGTAAAAATAAAAGCTCAGTCCGTCTTAGTCTCTATCTCAAATTATGGCATCATCCTAGTAGGGTGTTATGCAGTAATATCTGTGCTGGTATGCCCAAATTTCAGAAACAATTTTTCTACTTGGGTTCTAGCATGTTGAGTTGCCTTACCAAAGTCACTCTAATGAAAAACAAACTGTGATAACTTGCTAATAACCATCACTGGTGGCCCATTCATGTAAGAAATGCCCTCAGTGGAAACAGGACTAATTAAAAATCTGGTGGCCTATAAGCACAGAGTAAGAGCAAAGTGCACACACTTCCCTGTGGTCTGTAACTAACAAGGTACTGCAAATTCATGGATTGCAGTTCTTTTCTCAAAATATTCTTGTATATTTAGCACACATCAGCAAGATTACAAGCATCTCTTCTCTGGGTGGTGGTACGGAAAAACTAATTTTATTGTTGTGATTGTTATTATTCTGTACTTTTTCAAGACACTTAATTTTAAAAAACAATACAAATATTTTACATGATAAAATTTTTTAGTATTAGTTTCATGACCCTATATTAAAATTTCCAAAAGCATAGGCTTTTTTTAAAATTAATTACATAAGGTGTTGATGATTTCCTTTAGATTATTCAATAGGAATCCTATCCTTGTTAGGCACATACTTATAGTTTCTAATCTAGAATTATAATTATATGATGTCAGAAATATTTCTACAAATACTTAATTCCATTCATTCTAGTTCATTCTTGTTCTTCCCAATTCAGAATTTATTCTGACATGTACGTGATACATCATATTTATTTGTTTTTAGTATCCCTTGCCAGAGAGTTGTAATATGAGAAAACTTTCTCTTATGTCTCTGATGCTTTTAACAGGCAGAACACAGAAGACCATATATACAATTTATTTATGTTCTCACCAAATAAGTAATCAGAGACAAAAGTCTATGTTTACCTTTGGAATATCCCTCTCAGTGCATCATACAACTTGAAAACAAATGCCATAGATACGGGAGAAGGGAGGGTGAAATTACAGGGAAAGGCTGTTATCTGAATTACATTTTTCAAAAACATCTCCTATGCCCATATCATACAAGTAACATAAGTTTTATCTATCTCTGTAATAATTTTATTGTAAAGCAATTTGCTGTAAAGTTAAAATATTGCAACTTCATATTCTTTACTTTTATTTTGTAAATATACTATTTAAATATGCAATTAAATAAATGATTATACATGTGCAATGTATAATCAGTGTGGTTCTGAATTGTCTTATAGCTCATTCTTCGTTGCCTTAGATTATTCATGAATCTTCATTATATCTAGGCATTTTCTACTTTATATGACAGTGAAATAAAGGTTTTCATTATTTTTTGATTTGGTGCTTTTTACATCCATTGTCCCAGGCTGTTTGCTTGATTTTTGATGGTAGAGCCGTATGTACATGGTGGCATTTGCTACAATTAGATTTAATATATTTCTTGCATAAGTGAAACATGTAAGCATGTTTATGTATGCACATGTGTGTGTGTGAGTGGTTAAATCCACAGAAAGACTATTGAGAATGAATATGCCGAGACATAAACTCAACATCTACCACCCTGTTTTTTCTTTGTTTTTTAATTTACAATGTAATGTAGCAGCACCTACCTTGTGTGACCGGTCACTGGTTTTGTTGGTAGTTAAATGGTGCAGAACAGGTTCCATGTCAAAGCTTTATAAGGATGATTTTTGGTCTGAAAAACATAATTCTCATTAATAGCCAATAGATTTTAAAAAGATAGTCGATGAGAACATATGTCTGCTGCTGCTTTATGGTACCAAAGCTAAATGATAAGTACTTTTGATCATTTTTATTCCCACTTTTCTTTTCTTTGGGAGGTTGAATCAATCTACATTACAACTTTGAGAATGTTTTATTTATGGCCTTTTTCTCAAAGAAAGGTACATTATGAAATCAGGTCACTTGTTTTATATATCCCTACAGAGAAATGCAGCCTTCACAACATTTCCAAAAGAAGAACACACATCAGTATTTCCCGTACAGACACACAGAGGAAGAATATCTTCAAGCCTCCACTTCATGTCATTCCATTACATTTAGCCACATTCTGTTGAGAGAAAGCATAGATTTAGTAGACCCAATGCATACTTTTTTTGCATTTTAATATCTCTGAAATCCAGATGTATATTGCACTCAATGTTGTGTTGTAGTTTAATTGGCAGTGTTTTCTTTCTTAGAGATAGTGGTGTGTCTTAAAGTAGTGGTGTGTCTTACAGTCAAAGACTGTATCTTGAATGTGATAAACTAGAGTAAGATAGACTAAAATTGGCATATATAAACACTAACTTAGGGATCAATTAAATTAGAACCTGAGTGATGACATGTACTTCCTCCATCTATGTGCAGTTTAATATTTAAAATCTGAGTTAATAAACAAAAGATCTCTCATAGTACTGGAAAGATTTTAGAATAAATGATTGTTGACTACATATTTTCATTTTATAAAATCATCAAGAGTTATTGTAGCGTCAACAGTGTTTGTTACTCCAACCATGCCATCTATGGGATTTCACACACAAACACTTTTTGGAAAGAAGGGTTGAAATACAAAGGAAGCTAGTCCAGGAGAATCCCTCTGCCTGCACTGCCTGCATTATCTTTAGTCTGTGGGTTTTATTGACTATGTGTTACAAATAAAAGAAAATAGAATAGACAAAGACTGAAAGAGATTGTGCATCAGGTGGTTAGACCATTTGGTTATTGTTTGACTTTTGTTTGGGGGGGTAAAATGGGTATAATAGAAATAACAAATATTCTAATACATTTTCCGTGACTTAAATGTGTAGAGAAAACACAATATATTAAGTCAAAAGTACAATTAAGTAAATTAACTGTACTGCTAAAGTATTTCTTCAGGCATCTTTTTAAAAGCTTTATTGCCATATAATTGGAACACAATAAAATGTTTAAACTGTAGAATTTAACACATTTTAACATACGTATTTTTACCATGAAACCATCGCACAATCCACATAATAAGCATATCCAGTACCTACCTATTAACATTTCTACATGTACACTTATAATCTCTTCCTCCTTCCCATCCACGCATCCTCAACCCCAGGAAACTGATCCTGTATGTTTTGTCACTATAGACTACGTTACCTTTTCTAGTCATGCATAACTGAAATCATACAATATCTACTCTTTTGACCGAGAGTGGGAGAGTTTGCCTTTTTTCATTTAGAATTATTATCTTAAGATTCATACAAGTTGTTGAATGTGTCAATAGATCATTCCTTTATATTGCACAGTAGTGTTCCATTTTATGGCTCTACCACCATGCGTGCATCTGTGCACCTGTTGATAGACATTTGGATTCCATGTTTCAGCTATTACCATAAATCTTCCATGAACATTTGTTTAGAAGTCTTTATATGCACATAAGCATTGAAAGTTTTTCTTAGATAAATACTTATGAGTGGAATGGCTAAACGATATGGTAGGAGTATGTGTAGCTATTGAAAATATTGCTAAACAATTTTTCAAAGTAGTTGTACTATTTTGCATTATTATTAGCAGCAGTGTTGGAGAGTCCAAGTACCTCCACGTCTTTGCCAAAACTTGGTTAATCTGTAATTATGCCATTTAATATGCATGTAGTGGTGTCACATTTTATGTTGGATTCCCCAGTGACTAATGATATTGACTGTGTTATGTGCTTATTTGATAACTGCATATTTCTTTAGTTAATAGCTTGCCAATATTTTTGCCTGAGATGTTGATATTTTTATTATTAAATTTTGCGTGAGAGTTGTTTAAAATTCTGGAAACAAGTCCTTTATCATATATGTGATTCGCAAATATTTTCTCCCACTCTGGGACTGTCTTTTTATTGCCTTACTAGTGTGTCTCAAAAGGTACAAGTTTTAAATTTTGATGAAGTCCAAATTTTCAATTTTTTGTGGGGATTGAGATTTTAGTGCCATAGCTAAGATATATTTGCCTAAACCAAGGGCAAAAGGTTTTCTCCTACATTTTCTCCTAAAAGTTTTATAGTTTTATGTTTTCCATTTAAGTCTCTGCTGTATTTTGAATTAATTTTTGTATGATACAGGTATGGATCAAAGTTCATTATTTTCAATGAATATCAAACTTGGTCATCACCATTCTACTCTCCACTTATATGAGTTTGACATTTTTAAATTCCACATATAAATGAGATCATGCAATATTCGCGTTTCTATGTCTGGCTTATTTCGCTTAGCAGAATGTCCTCCAGGTTCATCCATGTTGTTACAAATGACAGGATTTCCTTCTTTTTCAAGGGTGAATAATATTCCATTATGTATATATATCACCTACTTTTATCTGTTTATTTGTTGATGGACTCTTAAGCTGATTGCGTATCTTGGCTGTTATAAATATATGCTGCCAAAACAGGAATGCAGATATCTTTAAAATGCTGATTTCAATTCTTTTGGATATATACTCAGAAGTAGAATTGTTGGATCATATAGTGGTTTTATTTTTAGTTTTTGAGAAATCTTTATAATCTTTTCCATGAAGGCTATACCAATTTACATGTCCACCACCAATTTATAAGGGTTCCGTTTTCTCCACGTCCTCGCCAATACTTGTTATCTTTTGTCTTTTTGTAAAAGTCATTCTAAGACATGTGAGGTGATACCACATTGTGGTTTCATATACCTGTTGACCATTTGTACCTCTTTTTTTGAGAACTGTCTATTCAATCCTTGGCTCATTTTCTCATGAAGTTATTTGTTTTATTGCTACTAAGTTTCTTATATGTTTTGGATATTAAATCTTTATCATATATATGATTTGCAAATATTTTCTCCCATCTCATAGGTTGTCCTTTTCACTCTGTTGATTGTTTGTTTTATCAGGCAGAAGCTTTTTGGTTTGATTTGATCTCATTTGTTCATATTTGCTTTGTTCCCTGTGATTTTAGAGTCATATTCAAAAATCTTTACAAGGAACAATCAAGAAGCTTTTTCCTCTGTTTTCTTTCAGCAGTTTTACAGTTTTAGGTCTTACATTTAAGTCTTTAATCCATTGAAAGGTGATATTTGTATATGGGGTGAGACAAAGGCCCTATTTTATTCACCTGCAAGTGAATATCTAGTATTTCCTACACCATTTATTAAAGACTGTCCTTTCCTCATGGTGTGTTGTTAGCACCTTTGTCAAATAACAGTTAACTGTAGATGTGTCAACTCGTTTTTTGATTCTCAATTCTCTTCCATATGCCTATATGTCTGTTTCTGTGCCAGTACCATGCTGTTTTGATTGTTATAACTTTGTGGTAGATTCTGAGATCAGGAAGTATAATGCACCCAGTTTGTTCTTTTTGCTCAAGCTTGCATTGGCTATTGAAGATCTTTTATGGTTTCATATGAATTATCTCTGTTTGCAGATGACATAATCTTATATGCAGAAAACATTAAAGAGTCCAACAAAAAGCTATTAGAACCAATAAACAAATTCAGTAAATCGCAGAATACAAAATCAACAGACAAAAATGAATGGTGTTTCTGTACACTAACAACAAAGTATCTGAAGAAATTAAAAATAAATCCATTTACAATAGCATCAAAAAGATAAAATACTTAGCAATAAATATAACCATGGAGGTTAAAGGTTTGTACACTGAAAACTATAAAATATTGATGAGAGAAATTGAAGAAGAAAAAAATAAATAGAAAGATACCCTCTGTTCATGGATTGAAAGAATTAATATTGTTAAAATGTCCGTACTGCCCAAAGCAATTTACGAATTCAATGCAGTCCCTATCAAAATTCCAGTTCTATGATTTCTAATTTATTTTATGAATTTTTTTAAAATTTAGTTATTTATGAGTATGTTATTTAGCTTCCAAATATTTTAGCATTTCTCTGTCTTTCTGTTATTAATTTCCATTTTAATTACATTATGGTCAAATAACACACTTTTTGTGATTTAAACTCTTTAAATGTATTGAGACTTGTCTTATGACAAAGAATTTGTTGTATTTTGGTAAATGACTTATGTGCACATGGGAATTTACATACTGCTGTTAGTGAGTGGACTAGTCTACAAATGTCAAATAGCTTAAGTTGGTTGAATGTGTTGCTCAAATCTTCTATATCTTTATTGATTTCTGTCTAGTTCTTCTGTAAGTTATACAGAAAAGAGTTGAAATTTTCTAATATATTTGTAGATCTGTCTGATTCTCCTTGCATTTCTATCACTTTTGCCCCATATATTTTGAATCTCTATTATATAGTGTACATACTTTAGGATGTTTATGCTTCTCGATAAATTGTCTCCTTTACCACTATAAAATATTCCTGTTTATACATGATAATATTTTTTGCTCTAAAATCAACTTTGTCTGATATTAATACAGATACTTCAGCTTTCTCTTTGAGGGACAGAACTAATAGGATGTATGTATATATGAAAGAGTGTTTATTAAGCAGAAATCACTCACATGATCACAAGGTGAAGTCCCACAGTAGGCCATCTGCAAGTTGAGGAACAAGGAAACCAGTCCAAGTCCCAAAGCAGCAAATGTAGGGAAGCTGACAGTGCAGCCTTTAGTGTGTGGCCAAAGGCCCAAGAGCCCCTGGCAAACCACTCGTGTAGGAACAAGAGTTAAAAAGCCAAAGAACTTGGAGTCTGATGTTTGAGGGCAGGAAGCAACCAGCACAGGAGAAAGATGAAGGTTGGAGGACTCAGCAAGACAGCTTTTTCTTCTACCTTCTTCTCCCTGCTTTTTCCAGCCTCACTGGCAGCTGATTGGATGGTGCCCACCACATTGTGGGTAGGTCTTCCTGAGGGTGGGTCTTCCTCTCCCAGTCCACTGACTCAAATGTTAATCTCTTCTGGCAACACCCAGAAACACCCAGATACACCCAGAAACAATACTTTGCATTCTTCCATTTAATCAAGTTGACACTTAATATTAACCATCACAGCATTATTTGCAAGGTGTATTATTTAACCTGCTATTACTTTTAAACCGTTTTGAGTTTTCATATTTAAAATAGATTTCTTTTAGGCAGTATGTAGTTGGGTCTTACTTTTTAAACCAACATAACAGTATCTTCCTCTTAAAGTAGTTATTGACATGGTGTGTTTAAATCTAGCATCCTGCTATTTGCTTTCTATCTGTCCCCTATGTTCTTTGTACATTCTATTCTTTATTCTACCTTCTTTTGTGTTAATGGTGTATTTTATTCTATTTTATCTCTTTAGTTAGATAGTATTACTTCTCCACATATTATAAAGCCCATAGTACAATGATACTATTTGTTTGACTTTAAACAGCTGGTTAATCTTTCAAAGAGATATAAATAATGAGAACATTAATTTATATTTGTCCATGTAGTTACCATTTTCAATGCTTTCAAATTCTTTGTTTAGATAACTGGTTTAATCTGGCGTTATTTTCTTTCGGCCTGTTCCTCCAACATAATTGTAGGTAGGCCTAATAATTATGAATTATTTCAACTTTTGTATGCCTAAGGAATGTCTTTATTTCACTTTTGTTTTTAAAACATATTATCACTGATTAAAGAATTACAGACCAATATCTTCTTCCTTCAGTACTTCAGATATGTTTCTCTACTATTTTCTAACTTGTATAATTTTTGACAAGAATTCAGCTGTTACTCTTATATCTGTTCCTGAGTATATAATGTGGTTTTTTTTCTCTGACTGCTTTCAAGATTATCTCTTTATAATAAGTTTTATGGAATTTTATTATAGTGTACCTAATTTAGTTTTCTTCATGTTTCTTGTGCTTGTGGTACATTGAGCTTCTGGGAGCCAAAATTTTTGACCATTGTTTTTTCAAGGAAGTTTTTCTATTCTCCTGCTCCTTTTAATTTGGAAGCTACAATTACACATATAATAGTCTGTTTGAAATTACCCACTGTTCAACGATGCTGTGATCATTTTTCATCGCTTTTCTTTTGTCTTTGTATGTTTCACCTTTTGATAGATTCTATTGCTGTATCCTCAAATTTACTAATTTTCTTTCGCAATATTTGATCTTCTGTTAATCACCTCCAGTGTGTTTTATCAGACAGTGAAATTTTGATTTTTTCAGGATTTTTTTAAAAAGAACTTTATTGTTTAGAGCAGTTTTAGGCTGACCGCAAAAGTGAGCAAAAGTGCAGACATTTCCTATATCCTGTCTGCCCCTACACATTCTCAGTCTCCTCTGTTATCATCATCTACCAGGATGGTACATTTTTTACAACTGAGACACCTACAGTGACATATTATTATCACACACAGACCATAATTTGCATTAGAGTTTTCTTTTAGTGTTCTAAATTCTATGGATTTGAATAAATGTATAACAACATATATCTACCATTACAGTATCATACAGAGTAGTTTCAAAATCCCTACAAATCTTCTGGGTTCCATCTACCCATCTCTCTGTTATCCCTAACCTCTGGCAACCACTGATTTTTACACTGTCTCCAGTTTTACCTCTTCCAGAATATCATATGACTGAAACCATAAAATATGTTGCCTTTTCAGGTTGGCCTTTTTAAATTTAGTAATGCACACTTAAGTTTTCTCCATGTCTTTTCATGGCTTGATAGCTAATTTTTTTTTTAATACTTCATGTTGTTCCACTGTCTGGATATACCACAGTTCATTTATCTATTCAGCTACTAAAGGACTCTTAGCTGCTTCCAAATTTTGGTACTTATGAATAAAGCTGCTGTAAATATCCATGTGCATGGTTTTGTGTCGATATAAGTTTTCAACTCCTTTTGTTATATACCAAGGAGGGTGATACAGCTAGGCTTTTTATCCCCACCCAAATCTCATCTTGAATTGTAATCCCTGTAATTCCTATAAACTCCACATGTCAAGGGAGAGACCAGGTGGAGGTAACTGAATCATGAAGGCAGTTTCCTTCATGCTGTTCTCATGATAGTGAGTGAGTTCTCATGAGATCTGATGGTTTTGTAAGGGTCGCTTTCCCCTTTGCTAGGCACTTCTCTTTCCTGCCACCTTGTGAAAAAGGTGCCTTGCTTCCCTTTCACCTTCCCCCATGATTGTAAGTTTCCTGAGGCCTCCCCAGCCATGTGGAACTATGAGTCAATTAAACCTCTTTCCTTTATAAATTACCCAGTCTCAGGCAGTTCTTCATAGCTGTATGAGAACTAATACAACAAATTGGTACTGGGAGTGGGGCACTGCTATAATGATACCCAAAAATGTGGAAGCAACTTTGGAACTGGGTAACAGGCAGAGGTTGGAACAGTTTGGAGGGCTCAGGAGAAGACAGGGAGATGTGGGAAAGTTTTGAACTTCCCAGAGACTTATTGAATGGCTTTGACGAAAATGCTGATAGTGATATGGACGATGAAGTCCAGGCTGAGGTGGTCTCAGATGGAGATGAGGAACTTGTTGGTGACTGGAATAAAGGTGATGCTTGCAAATGCTTTAGCAAAGAGACTAGTGGCATTTTGTCCCTGCCCTAGAGATCTGTGGAACTTTGAACCTGAGAGAGATGTTTTAGAGTGTCTGGCAGAAGAAATTTCTAAGCAGCACAATGTTCAAGAGGTGACTTGGGTGCTCTGAAAAACATTCAGTTTTATGCCTTCACAAATAGATGGTTTGGAATTGGAACTTATGTTTAAAAGGGAAACAGAACCTAAAAGTTTGGAAAATTTGCAGCCTGACAATGCGATAGAAAAGAAAGACCCATTTTCTGAGGGGAAATTCAAGCAGGCTGCAAAAACTTTTATAGCTAATGGGAAGCCAAATGTTAATCACCAAGACAATGGGGAAAATGTCTCCAGGGCATGTCAGAGGTCTTCACTGCAACCCTTCCCATCTAAGGCCTGGAGGCCTTGGAGGAGGAAAATGGTTTTGTGGGCTGGGCCCAGAGCCATGCTGCTTTGTGCTGTCTTAGGACTTGGTGCCCTGCATCCCAGCTGTGGCTGAAAGAGGCCAAAATACAGCTCAGATCATTGTTTCAGAGGGTGCAAACCCCAAGCCTTGGTGGCTTACACATGGTTTTGGGCCTGCAGGTACACAGAAGTGAAGAATTGAGGTTTGGGAATCTCTGCCTAGATTTCAGAGGATTTATGAAAATGCCTAGATGTCCAGGCAGAGGTGTGCTGCAGGGCTTGAGCTTTCATGGAGAACCTATGCTGGTGCAGTGCAGAAGGGAACTGTTGGGTTGGAGACACCCCCTGCAGAGTCCCCACTGGGGCACTGCCTACTGTAGCTGTGAGAAGCGGTTCACTGTCCTCTAGACCCCAGAATGATAGATCCACTGACAGCTTCCACCATGAGCCTGGAAAAGCTGCAGACACTCAATGCCAGCCCATGAAAACAACTGGGAGGGGGACTGTACCCTGCCAAGCCACAGGGGTGAAGCTGCCCAACACCATGGGAACCCACCTTTTGCTTCAGCATGACCTGGAAGTGAGATACAGAGTCAAAGGAGATCATTTCAGAGCTTTAAGATTTGACTGCCTCACTGGATTTTGGACTTGTATGGTGCCTGTAGCCCCATTGTTTCAGCCAATTTCTCCCATTTGAAATGGATTTGTTTACCCAATGCCTGTATCCCCATTATATTTAGGAAGTAACTAACTTGCTTTTGATTTTACAGGCTCATTTGTAGAAGGGACTTGTCGTGTCTCAGATGAGACTTTGGACTTGGACTTTTGGGTTAATGGTAGAATTAATTAAGAATTTGGGGGACTGTTGTGAAGGCATGACTGCTTTTGAAATGTGAAAGGGATATGAGATTTGTTTGGGGCTAGGGGAAGAATGATATGTTTAGGGTTTGTGTCCCCACCCAAATCTCCTCTTTAATTGTAATCCCCTTAATCCCCATGTGTCAAGGGAGAGACCTGGTGAAGGTAACTGAATCATTGAGGACCATTTCCTTCATGCCGTTCTCATGATAGTGAGTAAGTTCTTATGAGATCTGAGGGTTTTATAAGGGGCTCTTCCCACTTTGCTCCACACTTCTTCTTCCTGACGCCTGGTGAAGAAGATGCCTTGCTTCTTCTTCACTTTCCACCAAGATAGTAAGTTTCCTGAAACCTCCCCAGCTTTGAGTCAATTAAACCACTTTCCTTTATAAATTGCCTAGTCTCAGGAAGTTCTTTATAGCACTGTGAGAATGGACTAATACAGACAGCAATTACTAGATTGTATGGTTATAGTATGTTTACTTTTGTAAGAAACTGGCAAACTGATTTCCAAAATGACTGTACTATTTTGCATTTTCACCAGCAATGAATGAGAGTTCTTCTTGTTCTATTCCTTGCCAGCATTTGGTGTTGTCCATGTTCTGAATTTTGACATAAAGGCTGTGTAGTAGTGTTTCATTGTTATTTTAATTTGCATGTCACTCATAATCTGTCATTTGGGGCATGTTTTCATATGCCTATCTGCCATTTGTGTATATTCTTTACTGAGGTCTCTTTAAGGTTTTTGGCCCATTTTTTTAGTCAGATTGTTTTCTTATTGTTTAGTTTTAAGAGTCCCTTTTATATTTTGGATAGTAGTCTTTTATCAGATGTCTTTGCAAATATTTTCACTTAGTTTGTGGCTTGTCTTTTTATTCTCTTGACAGTGTCTTTTACGAAGCATAAAATTTTAATTTTAATGAAGTCCAACATATCAATTTGTTTTTTCATGGATTATGCCTTTGATAGTGTATCTAAAATGTCATTATCAAAACCAAGATCATCTTGATTTTGTTCCCAGACATTGAAGTTTTTATCTCTAAAATTCTGATTTGGATTTAAAAAAAAAATCTCTTCCATAGTTGTACTTAACATGTTAAGTATTTTCTCTAGGTTTTGAACACATGAAATGTAGTTATAATAACTGTTTTAATGTTCTTGTTTACTAACTCCATCATATGTGTCATTTTTATGTTTTGGTCAATTGTTTGTTTTCTTCCTCATTATGAGTTACATTTTCCTGATTCTTTGCATACCTGAAAATTTGTATTAGATGTCAGAAATTTGAATTTTACCTTGTTGGAAATTGAGCATTTTTGTATTCTTGATCTTTGTTCTGAGATATGGTTAAATTACTCAGAAACATTTTATTCTTTCAGTTCCTATATTTATGCTTTTTCAGATAGGAACTGAGCAGCATTTAGTATTGGCTTAATTTTTCCCCACTGTTAAGGTTAAGACCTTTCTTAGTACTCGAACAAATGCCTCCCTAATTATGATATTTTCCACATGGATGTTAGGTTAGGAACTATTCCTGGCCTGTATAAATTCTGAGCACTGGTCCTTCTAATCCTTTCAGTGTGTCCTTTCCTATTTTAAAATAGTTTTTCCATATGGATGCACTAGTCATTACTGAATTGAATACTCATGAGGGATGTCCTGTAGATCTCTAACACTCTTTCTCTGCACAGCTGTCCTCTCTCGTTTACTGTGAATTCTAGTTGCTTTAGTTTCTCCAGACTCCCAGATCTGTCTTTTCAACTCAGAAAGACAGCTGAGCTTTGCCTAAGTCTCCCTTGCTATGCTGTAGAGTGAAAACTTTGTCCAGGGAGCAAGCTTGGGCAGTTGTATGATTTGGCATGTTAATTTAACATACTTCAAGGATTACTGTCCTTTATATGCTGATGCCTAATATTTTGCGACTATTCTTTCATGTATTTTGTGTAGTATTTAGCTAATTTTTCTCATTTTTATTTACTCAGTAAAAAGTGAATGAAAGATAGAAGTTGACCCAAACCTGCTCTAAATGTCTTTATCTAACCAAGAGAATAGAAATAAAGTTACCTGCATTTGGAATATTGCATATTTTACCTGTCCTTATTTGAATAAATTATGGGAAAAAAAACAGCAACTGAAAGGTAATAGAGTGATTCTTTGACAGAATCCTTTCTCAGAAAGAGTTTAAAACAGAAACAGTAAAAAGCTACAGTAAAGTACTAATTTAACCTACCATTCCTTAAAAAAAAAATCTGCTGGATAAAATTCACAAGGACTATAACTCTTCTGTAGTTGAATAGGTTACATTTTTCAGTGCCAAGTGACAAGAGAAAAATAAAGGTTTAAAGTACCTAATTTCAAATATCAGTTCAATTATCTGCCACCTCTATGACACCAAATAAATTATCCTCTCTGAACTGCATTTTCAAAATTAGGAAAGTAGGAATAACAATTCCTACATCATAGAGTTACTATTAGATTTCTCCAAGAGACTCAATACATGAAGACCTGTCATTCATATGTTAATTTATTATTTCACCCTAGTTTTCTAGAGTATTTGGGGAGCATTGTTTACTTTATGAAGCATTTGCCTATCCTCTAACATTCTCCTTCTTTCTGAAACGCCATCCAAGACACAGTCCATTTCTCAAGCTTTCCTTAATCCAAGTATGCTTGCATTCTATAAACCTCTCTCTGCTGCCCTTCAGCTTTTCATGGTGTCAACTGAAAATAGATGGTAGAAAATTCACTCTTTGGCTTTCTGCTTACAATATATATTGTCATGTGCCCTAGTAATCCAAAGAAACTCTGAACCCACAAAAATGTTTCTATAGATATGAAATATTGGGAATAATTTGTTAGTTCTATCTTTCCCAAACATTGTTTCAGGTCAAACCTTTCTTTTTTTCCTGTGAGTTTAAAGAGTATTTTCTAAAGCTGATTTTACTTACTAGGTCTAGGGTGACATTTTACTCTGGCTGCTGTTAATACTTAAAATATTTTGTACTATTTCTTTAGCATCAGATTTGGCATTCCTAACTAAGAAAATGCCCGGAGGCCACAAAATTTAAAAACTTAAAGACCAAGAGCCAAATACGTTAGAAGATAGAGAGAGAGAGAGAGAATAAATATTGCTCTACCATTAGTTTTTCTGCCTTAACGGCTGTTGGAAAAACATACATGTGATTCAGATATAGAAAAAAAAAAATGACAAAACAAAACAACTTGAATCATGTCTAAGAAAGTCTGGTTTTAGTTATAATATCAACTGAAATATTCTCTGCCTAAAACAGGCCATAGTGACTTTAAATCACTAAATAAGACGATTTAAAAACATGCTAATTGGCCGGGCGCGGTGGCTCACGCCTGTAATCCCAGCACTTTGGGAGGCTGAGGCGGGTGGATCATGAGGTCAGGAGATCGAGACCATCCTGGCTAAGACGGTGAAACCCCATCTCTACTAAAAATACAAAAAAATTAGCCGGGCGAGGTGGCAGGCGCCTGTAGTCCCAGCTACTCGGGAGGCTGAGGCAGGAGAATGGCGTGAACCCAGGAGGTGGAGCTTGCAGTGAGCCGAGATGGCGCCACTGAACTCCAGCCTGGGCAACAGCGAGACTCCATCTCAAAAAAAAAGAAAAAACATGCTAATAGAATGCAGATATTAATATAATTCAAGATAAATTATACTGAAAGGTAAATTTGAGTCTGCTATTCCTTCATAATTGAGACTGACTGTGGAGTATTCTACCCCTTACATGAAATGATTAATGGACTATTCGTACCCCTAGCTTTTGTAATGATTTTTTAAGTTAAAAAATCTTTTAATAATTAAGTTTAATTTTAAACAGTTAAAGATTGGGAATGAATCTTTACAGCCCTCTCATTCTATCTTTACACCAAAATAATGACCAATACTGTCTGTTAAATTTTTTAACCTATGCTTCTGTCATCTATTTAAAAATGTAGAGTATTAAGGCTAGTTCTTGTGCTTTACTTGAATGGAAATTCATTAAAAACACTGTGCTCCACAAATATAAACTGAATAAATGTCAGCATTCATAAACTGTTCTGTGCTCTACTTTGAACTGTAGTGTGGTTTCTTTTTAACCATTTACCAAATAGTAAAGAACATGGCTGTAGGTCAGGCATGGCTTACACCTGTAATCCCAGCACTTTGGGTGACTGCAGTAGGAGAATCACTTGAGGCCTGGCGTTCAAGACCATCCTGGGCAATATAGAAAGACCCCATCTCTAAAAAGAAAAAAAAAAATTAAAGACTAGCTATAGTGGAATGCATCTGTAGTTCCAGCTACCCAGGAGGCTGAGGCATGGAGGATTGTCTGAGCCCAGCAGTTTGAGGCTGCAGTGAGCTATTATTCAGTCACTGCAGCCTGGGCAGCAGAGCAAGACCTTGTCTATATTAAATAAATAAATGCAGTGACTGTAGTAGACAGCAGAAGTCTCTGTCTTAAAAATAGGTGAAAGCCATGTCCCCTAATTAGAATAGTATATCATTAACATGGCATTTTTACCACCTGACCCCGTTAAGCTGTGCCATAGATATGCACAATCCATTGTGAACCAATGTCACAAGTGTGCCATGTATTGTGTATGCCTCATTGTCCGCTTGTCTCTATTTGACTTTGGTGTATACCCTGTAGAACAAAAGGGCTGATGTACATGAATGTGTACATTGAATATGTACAAGAATAATGACTTCATAGAGAAATATTTTCTCTCTTTCTAGCTAGAAGTTTACTTAATGTCTTTTTCAGTTTACTTACTTATAAAACACAAAAGATAAAGCATACTTCTTAGGCTTCTGTGAAAATTAAATGATATATCAGATAAAATCCTGTAACCATGTTAAAGCTCAATGTTAAAGCTCAATTAATCATACCTATATAGTGATAGAATCTAAGAATCAGGGATGGATCTAGAGCTGGAAGACCACATTTCCCAAATACAATTTTTTCGTGAATTAAGGTCTAAATAGATATTAAATAACTGCCATAAGTCTCCCATAATGTCATAGGGCTGGGTCTAGAATGTCCATCTTAGTACCATTGCTCCCCTACACTTTCCACTGCACAGTCTATAGGTGCTAGCTTTACTTAAAACTCTAGCAGCTGCTAGCATCAAATATTATGTGTGTCTAACTTCTTAACAGAAGAATGGAGATTTTACTTTCTCCTGGTACTTGATAGAATTCATAGGGTCAACCATGAGCACATGAACTTCTATATCACACGAAACTATTGCTACGGAATAAAAGATGAAATGCTCCTGATTATTGTAAATACAAAGTTGCATGTGGGATTGTGTAAAGACAATGCCAGGTTGGACTGCCAGAATGAGCCAACAGCGCATGATGTGCTTCCCCCTGCAGAGAGCCTATGAGTGGACGTGCAGTCAGGGAGGTTTCACATCACCAAGATTCCTGTCCCAGAAAAGCAGATGTTCATACATCTGGGAATGGAATGCGACCCTTGTGGAGAGCCTATAAACGGATGCATGAGGGGCGCCTGTCCATACAGATAAGATAGGGCTATAAATGCCCTCATCTTGCCACAGCTCTTCTAGGCCTCTTTAGGGTTAAGGTATACTCCCTTCTGAGAATTTCTGGTCTAACCAGTTGTCTAGCTTCACGTCCTGTTTCTATGGATTTTTTGTAACCAGCTTTTGCTGCAACTGTTACTGCTGATTAATATCTTGCTAATCATAGGTTATGGAAAGACTGTTTCTGTTTTAAGGCTCTGTTAGAAATTACTGATGCACATGTTATATTGTAAATTCTTATCTCTGTATACTGTACTTCTACATACAGGTGTTATGTGAAAGAATTACTTCATCCCCATATGACCATCTCACCTCATGATCAAATGATCCTAAATCCCTCACTAACCTACCCCTGCCCTCACTAAACTTAATAACAAATGCTGGTATATCCAGTGCATTGGTGGCACCACGGGACCAGAAGGTGGTGACCCCCCTGGACCCAGCTTTCACTGTCTTGTGTGTGTCTATTATTTCTCAACCTGCCGATCCACATAGGAACAAGGAGAGAGCCCTGTTGCATTGTGGGCTGCTGGCCAGATCCCACAATAAAAGTTCTAATGCACCTAACCATATACTCTATTCAACTTGAAACAATGTTTCAGGAACCCAGGGGCTGCAGGTGAGAGATATAACTTTACTTTTATATATTTGGCCCATGAAGATTCTGAGAAGGCAGTCATTCTGAGAGTATCACTATGACAGTATCATTAGATGCAGCAAATTAGGTTATCTGAGTGTTCTAGTGCTTTTTTTGCTGTAGTATTTAGTTATATTAATGTGGATTTTGTTCTATTACATTAAAGAATTATAGTTTATTTCACTATGGAATATTTAAATATTATTATCAATTTCAATCCTATTCTTCAATCCTAGCCAAAACAGGAGGTGATTCAAAAAAGACAGTTATAAATTTAAAAAGCCTTGAAATGTTCTAGAGACAAAAAGTGGTATCTTCTTACATATATTTGTGAATGTAATTAGCAAAAAATAATGATATATATATATATAAAATAAAAGTTTGAGGAGTATTAAGAAAGTACTAACTGTCAATGTTTTCTGGCCAGAATTTTATACCAGTGCACCAAAACATAATTCTTGTATGACTTTGTTATGACTTTGTTATGCAATCGTTGATGATATTTATTTGCCTCATAATGTCGTTTTTAAACACTCAATCTGTTTTCTTATTGCTGCCCACATTTGGGGGAAAGAAATTCACAAGTAACTTTGCCAAAAAGGAATTTTGTAATGTTATTCCTACATAGTCTTTGAGTATAAAAATAGGTATAATCAGTATAAAAGAATGTCATTTTTCCAGTCTAATCTACAAATAAGAATTTTTAATGAATGAAGATTTTGGTAGATTTCCAGCTTCAGTTCCATTATTTTAATAGAAGAATACAATTCTTAAAATTTTACCTAGTTTTTTGTTTTAATAAAATGTCTATTAATTTGCAACATTATAAAAGACTATATACTTTTATAAAACTCTGTGCTGATGAAAACAAGTTGAAAATTAAATAGGGAGGTAATATGGTCACAAACTTTGTGGTATTTCTGTAAGAAAGACTCTTTTTCTATGTAATTTTTAATTTAACATCTCCACTTTTGACAGAATATAGACAGTTTTTAAAGTAATAAAATGTAATGAGCCCAGACGTGCAGACTACAGTGTTCCAAACTATAAACGTCAAATTAGGGAGAAGCACGGGAAACTAATCAGCTTTTCTGGCAGAACCTGGAAAACTACAATAAGAGGTGAGAGTGAGGCAGGAAATAAAACAGAGTAAAATAAGGGAGATTGTTTAAAAACATTTTATTGTTCAGAGGTACATCCATATGTAGAATTACATTGCGTCTGAACTAATAAACTCAATTATAAAGGTTTCTGGCCTTGACTTTTCATCTTTACAAGTATCTCACTGTTATTTGTGACCCCTTTCAGTCTGCACCCATGTCTATGTATTCTTAATCCATGATGTCTAATTTCTCCCTTTTCACTAGGACCCCTGTCTTCACCTCTTACCCTTCATGAACTACAGTACATGGTCCATCGCTTATTCTCTCCAACATCTTTAACTCTCTTGCTACAATGCTCTTTTATTACATTCACTCTTTAAATCCTCACTAAATATTTCATTGTCTATATGCCTCTACTCAAGGTGCTTAGCACTACTGAAGAAAGCACACAATGCTACAGAATGGTCTCACTATAATTGTATTTTCCCTAGCCTTACTTAGGCCCTCAGTGCTGCACACCAGTCTTCTCTGTCTTCATTGTGGCTAATTGCGACACTCACCTTCACCTCCTGCTCCCACAGGCAAGGTCAGATGCTACTTTCCAGAGATAATTGAAAGTCTCGGACAAAAGATTGTTTCACTTGCTAACTTCAGATCTATAAACTTCCCACCCTCCATACACATCCTTCTTTCCTCAACTCATTTTTAGAAGAAAAAAAAAGACATTTCTATCTCTAATGCAAATCCACCTTCATTCTGTATCTTACTTCCTGCTTTTTAGAGACTGTACTCTCTTACTGTTAACCATTCAAGTAATTCCAGCCACTCCTCTCTACTGGCTCTTTCTCATTTGCATCTGTACATCACATTTCTCAAATCTCAGCAGAGCTCACTCTCAAGTTTTTAACTTCTGTATACCTCATGTGTAAGCTGGATGAAATGGTAATTCCTGCTTCATAGACTTGTTATAAAAATTAATTCCATGGATTATAAATACCAAACACTTTAAAAGGGGGTCTGGCCCATGGTAGAAGTCCAATTAATACTCTCCATTGTTATTATCTAACTGTGTAAGCCACAAACCAAGAAACTAAAGTTGCTATCTCCTTTTTCATCATTGATATTCTATCCAGTATCAAGTCTTGTTAGTTCTATATCTTAAATATCTTAAACATCTACTTAGTACAACCCCATTAATTTAACTAGACCAGAGTAATCATTTACATGATTTCTTCCTCAGCCTTTTACTTCGTATTCCTACCTCTAACCTTGCTTATTTTCAGTGCATTATTCTTGCTGCATACAGAGTGTCCTAAACCAAAGTCTTACAAACTGTGCACCATGGACTGGTCACCTGTTTTCACGAAACAGGTTTAACTGGAGCACAGCCATGTCCATTTACTTGTGTATTATTGGTGGTTGCTTTCACTCTACAATGGCAGCCTTAGGTACTTGCAATAGAGACTATCTGGTCCACAAGCTTATATGTTTAGTGTGTCTTTCTTTAAGAAAAAGTTTGATGACCCCTGTCATAAACTCAAATATGAACATCATTCACCTGCTTAAAACACTTCAACGTTTTCAGTAACTTTCAGGATATGTCCAGGTTGATTTTTGTAGTACTTCATACTTACCCTTGTCTTCCTCTTCAGCCTCATCACTAAATAGTGCTAGTGAAGCAACAACCATACAAAACTTCTTTCTGTATCTTTTTTTTTAAATTTTATTATTATACTTTAAGTTTTAGGGTACATGTGCGCAACGTGCAGGTTTGTTACATATGGATCCATGTGCCATGTTGGTGTGCTGCACCCATTAACTCGTCATTTAGCATGAGGTATACCTCCTAATGCTATCCCTCCCCACTCCTCCCACCCCACAACAGTCCCCGATGTGTGATGTTCCCCTTCCTGTGTCCATGTGTTCCATTGTTCAATTCCCACCTATGAGTGAGAACATGTGTGTTTGGGTTTTTGTCCTTGTGATAGTTTACTGAGAATGATGATTTCCAATTTCATCCATGTCCCTACAAAGGACATGAACTCATCATTTTTTTATGGCTGCATAGTATTCCATGATGTATATGTGCCACATTTTCTTAATCCAGTCTATCATTGTTGGACATTTGGGTTGGTTCCAAGTCTTTGCTATTGTGAATAGTGCCGCAATAAACATACGTGTGCATGTGTCTTTATAGCAGCATGATTTATAGTCCTTTGGGTATATACCCAGTAATGGGATGGCTGGGTCAAATGGTATTTCTAGTTCTGGATCCCTGAGGAATCGCCACACTGACTTCCACAATGGTTGAACTAGTTTACAGTCCCACCAACAGTGTAAAAGTGTTCCTATTTCTCCACATCCTCTCCAGCACCTGTTGTTTCCTGACTTTTTAATGATCGCCATTCTAACTGGTGTGAGATGGTATCTCATTGTGGTTTTGATTTGCATTTCTCTGATGGCCAGTGATGATGAGCATTTTTTCATGTGTTTTTTGGCTGCATAAATGTCTTCTTTTGAGAAGTGTCTGTTCATATCCTTTGCCCACTTTTTGATGGGGTTGTTTTTTTCTTGTAAATTTGTTTGAGTTCATTGTAGATTCTGGATATTAGCCCTTTGTCAGGTGAGTAGGTTGCAAAAATTTTCTCCCATTCTGTAGTTTGCCTGTTCACTCTGATGGTAGTTTCTTTTGCTGTGCAGAAGCTCTTTAGTTTAATTAGATCCCATATGTCAATTTTGGCTTTTGGTGCCGTTGCTTTTGGTGTTTGAGACGTGAAGTCCTTGCCCATGCCTATGTCATGAATGGTATTGCCTAGGTTTTCTTCTAGGGTTTTTATGGTTTCAGCTCTAACATTTAAGTCTTTAATCCATCTTGAATTATTTTTTGTATAAGGTGTAAGGAAGGGATCCAGTTTCAGCTTTCTACATATGGCTAGCCAGTTTTTCCAGCACCATTTATTAAATAGGGAATCCTTTCCCCATTGCTTGTTTTTGTCAGGTTTGTCAAAGATCAGATAGCTGTAGATATGCGGCATTATTTCTGAGGGCTCTGTTCTGTTCCATTGGTCTATATCTCTGTTTTGGTACCAGTACCAGGCTATTTTGGTTACTGTAGCTTTGTAGTATATTTTGAAGTCAGGTAGCGTGATGCCTCCAGCTTTGTTCTTTTGGCTTAGGATTGACTTGGCGATGCGGGCTCTTTTTTGGTTCCATATGAACTTCAAAGTAGTTTTTTCCAATTCTGTGAAGAAAGTCATTGGTAGCTTGATGGGGATGGCATTGAATCTGTAAATTACCTTGGGCAGTATGGCCATTTTCATGATATTGATTCTTCCTACCCATGAGCAAGGAATGTTCTTCCATTTGTTTGTATCCTCTTTTATTTCATTGAGCAGTGGTTTGTCATTCTCCTTGAAGAGGTCCTTCACATCCCTTGTAAGTTGGATTCCTAGGTATTTTATTCTCTTTGAAGCAATTGTGAATGGGAGTTCACTCATGATTTGGCTCTCTGTTTGTCTGTTATTGGTGTAGAAGAATGCTTGTGATTTTTGTACATTGATTTTGTATCCTGAGACTTTGCTGAAGTTGCTTATCAGCTTGAGGAGGTTTTGGGCTGAGATGATGGGGTTTTCTGGATGTGCATTCATGTCGTCTGCAAACAGGGACAATTTGACTTCCTCTTTTCCTAATTGAAGACCCTTTATTCCCTTCTCCTGCCTGATTGCCCTGCCCAGAACTTCCAACACTATGTTGAATAGGAGTGGTGAGAGAGGGCATCCCTGTCTTGTGCCCGTTTTCAAAGGGAATGCTTCCAGTTTTTGCCCATTCACTATGATATTGGCTGTGGGTTTGTCATGGATAGCTTTTATTATTTTGAGATACGTTCCATCAATACCTAATTTATTAAGAGTTTTTAGCATGAAGGTTGTTGAATTTTGTCAAAGGCCTTTTCTGCATCTATTGAGATAATCATGTGGTTTTTGTCTTTGGTTCTGTTTATATGCTGGATTACATTTATTGATTTGTGTATATTGAACCAGCCTTGCATCCCAGGGATGAAGCCCACTTGATCTTGGTGGATAAGCTTTTTGATGTGCTGCTGGATTTGGTTTGCCAGTATTTTATTGAGGATTTTTGCATCAATGTTCATCAAGGATATTGGTCTAAAATTCTCTTTTTTGGTTGTGTCTCTGCCCGGGTTTGGTATCAGGATGATGCTGGCCTCATAAAATGAGTTAGGGAGGATTCCCTCTTTTTCTATTGATTGGAATAGTTTCAGAAGGAATGGTACCAGCTCCTCCTTGTACCTCTGGTAGAATTCGGCTGTGAATCCATCTGGTCCTGGACTCTTTTTGCTTGGTAAACTATTGATTATTGCCACAATTTCAGCTCCTGTTGTTGGTCTATTCAGAGATTCAACTTCTTCCTGGTTTAGTCTTGGGAGGATGTATGTGTTGAGGAATTTATCCATTTCTTCTAGATTTTCTAGTTTATTTGTGTAGAGGTGTTTATAGTATTCTCTGATGGTAGTTTGTATATCTGTGGGATCGGTGGTGATATCCCCTTTATCATTTTTTATTGCATCAATTTGATTCTTCTCTCTTTTTTTCTTTATTAGTCTTGCTGGCGGTCTATCAATTTTGTTGATCTTTTCAAAAAACCAGCTCCTGGATTCATTGATTTTTTGAAGGGTTTTTGTGTCTCTATTTCCTTCAGTTCTGCTCTGATCTTAGTTATATCTTGCCTTCTGCTAGCTTTTGAATGTGTTTGCTCTTGCTTTTCTAGTTCTTTTAATTGTGATGTTAGGGTGTCAATTTTAGATCTTTCCTGCTTTCTTTTGTGGGCATTTAGTGCTATAAATTTCCCTCTACACACTACTTTGAATGTGTCCCAGAGATTCTGGTATGTTGTGTCTTTGTTCTCGTTGGTTTCAAAGAACATCTTTATTTCTGCCTTCATTTCGTTATGTACCCAGTAGTCATTCAGGAGCAGGTTGTTCAGTTTCCATGTAGTTGAGCGGTTTTGAGTGAGTTTCTTAATCCTGAGTTCTAGTTTGATTGCACTATGGTCTGAGAGACAGTTTGTTATGATTTCTGTTCTTTTACATTTGCTGAGGAGTGCTTTACTTCCAACTATGTGGTCAATTTTGGAATAGGTGTGGTGTGGTGTTGAAAAGAATGTATATTCTGTTGATTTGGGGTGGAGAGTTCTGTAAATGTCTGTTAGGTCTGCTTGGTGCAGAGCTGAGTTCAATTGCTGGGTATCCTTGTTAACTTTCTGTCTTGTTGATCTGTCTAATGTTGACAGTGAGGTGTTAAAATCTCCCATTATTATTGTGTGGGAGTCTAAGTCTCTTTGTAGGTCACTAAGGACTTGCTTTATGAATCTGGGTGCTCCTGTATTGGGTGCATATATATTTAGGATAGTTAGCTCTTCTTGTTTAATTGATCCCTTTACCATTATGTAATGGCCTTCTTTGTCTCTTTTGATCTTTGTTGGTTTAAAGTCTGTTTTATCAGAGACTAGGATTGCAACCCCTGCCTTTTTTTGTTTTCCATTTGCTTGATACATCTTCCTCTATCCCTTTATTTTGAGCCTGTGTATGTGTCTGCACGTGAGGTGGGTTTCCTGAATACAGCACACTGATGGGTCTTGACTCTTTATCCAATTTGCCAGTCTGTGTCTTTTAATTGGAGCATTTAGCCCATTTACATTTAAGGTTAATATTGTTATGTGTGAATTTGATCCTGTCATTATGGTGTTAGCTGGTTATTTTGCTCATTAGTTGATGCAGTTTCTTCCTAGCCTTGATGGTCTTTACAACTTGGCATGTTTTTGCAGTGGCTGGTTCCGGTTGTTCCTTTCCATGTTTAGTGCTTCCTTCAGTAGCTCTTTTAGGGCAGGCCTGGTAGTGACAAAATCTCTCCACATTTGCTTGTCTGTAAAGTATTTTATTTCTCCTTTACTTATGAAGCTTAATTTGGCTGGATATGAAATTCTAGGTTGAAAATTCTTTTCTTTAAGAATGTTGAATATTGGCCCCCACTCTCTTCTGGCTTGTAGAGTTTCTGCCCAGAGATCAGCTGTTTGTCTGATGGGCTTCCCTTTGAGGGTAACCCGACCTTTCTCTCTGGTTGCCCTTAACATTTTTTCCTTCATTTCAACTTTGGTGAATCTGACAAATATGTGTCTTGGAGTTGCTCTTCTCGAGGAGTATCTTTATGGCATTCTCTGTATTTCCTGAATTTGAATGTTGGCCTGCCTTGCTAGATTGGGGAAGTTCTCCTGGGTAGTATCCTGCAGAGTGTTTTCCACCTTGGTTCCATTCTCCCCGTCACTTTCAGGTACACTAATCAGACATAGATTTGGTCTTTTCACATAGTCCCATATTTCTTGGAGGCTTTGTTTGTTTCTTTTTGTTCTTTTTTCTCTAAACTTGTCTTCTTGCTTCATTTCATTCATTTTGTCTTCCATCACTGATACCCTTTCTTCCAGTTGATGGCATTGGCTACTGAGGCTTCTGCATTCGTCACGTAGCTCTCATGCCTTGGTTTTCAGCTCCATCAGGTCCTTTAAGGACTTCTCTGCATTGGTTATCCTGGTTATCCATTCATCTAACTTTTTTTCAAAGCTTTCAACTTCTTTGCCATTGGTTCGAATTTCCTCCTGTAGCTCGGAGTAGTTTGATTGTCTGAAGCCGTCTTCTCTCAACTCGTCAAAGTCATTCTCCATCCAGCTTTGTTCTGTTGCTGGTGAGGAGCTGCATTCCTTTGGAGGAGGAGAGGCACTCTGATTTTTAGAGTTTCTGGTTTTTCTGCTCTTTTTTTTTCCCATCTTTGTGGTTTTATCTACCTTTGGTCTTTGATGATGGTGACGTACAGATGGGTTTTTGGTGTGGATGTCCTTTCTGTTTGTTAGTTTTCCTTCTAACAGACAGGACCTTCAGCTGCAGGTCTGTTGGAGTTTGCTAGAGGTCCACTCCAGACCCTGTTTGCCTGGGTATCAGCAGTGATGGCTGCAGAACAGCAGATATTGGAGAACTGCAGATGCTGCTGCCTGATCGTTCCTCTGGAAGTTTTGTCTCAGAAGAGTACCTGGCCGTATGAGGTGTCAGTCCGCCCCTACTTGGGGGTGCCTCCCAGTTAGGCTACTCGGGGGTCATGGACCCACTTGAGGAGGCATTCTTCCCATTCTCAGATCTCAAGCTGCGTGCTGGGAGAAGCACTGCTCTCTTCAAAGCTGTCAGAGAAGTACATTTAAGTCTGCAGAGGTTACTGCTGTCTTTTTGTTTGTCTGTGCCCTGCCCCCAGAGGTGGAGCCTACAGAGGCAGGCAGGCCTCCTTGAGCTGTGGTGGGCTCCACCCAGTTGGAGCTTCCTGGCCGCTTTGTTTACCTAATCAAACAACTAACTCATCAATGGTGGGCGCCCCTCCCCCAGCCTCACTGCCGCCTTGCAGTTTGATCTTGGACTGCTGTGCTAGCAATGAGCGAGACTCTGTGGGCGTAGGACCCTCCTAGCCAAGTGCGGGATATAATCTCCTGGTGTGCCATTTTTTTAAGCCCATTGGAAAAGCGCAGTTTTAGGGTGGGAGTGATCCAATTTTCCAGGTGCCGTCTGTCACCCCTTTCTTTGACTAGGAAAGGGAATTCCCTGACCCCTTGTGCTTCCCGAGTGAGGTGATTCCTCGCCCTGCTTTGGCTCATGCACGGTGCACTGCACCCACTGTCCTGCACCTACTCTCTGGCACTCCCCAGTGAGATGAACCCGGTACCTCAGTTGGAAATGCAGAAATCACCCATCTTCTGCGTCACTCACACTAGGAGCTGTAGACTGGAGCTGTTCCTATTCGGCCATCTTGGCTCCTCCCTTTTCAGTATCTTAAATACACTCTTTTTCTCTCACAGCTCCAGGAGTTAGCATAGACTACTGACTCTTCCTAGAATATTTTTTATCTCTCTTCCTTGTCTAAATAACTCCTACCAATTATGCAAGTCTGAACAAAAACATTTCCTGACTCTTGCCACACTAGATTGGCTGTGCCTATGTCCATACTTCCTCTAAATCATGTCCAATATTCTTTAAGTCATTACTTAAGTCATTCTATGAATTCCACCTCTATCACTCTCCCCATTGTCAACTCCAGGTCTACGACAAAGTCTAGAACATAGTAAGTACCTTATATATAATTGCTGAGTGAACAAATGAATATACATGGCGTTATTTCAGAAATTTCTCTTGGCTACTTTCAAACTTACTCTTGTTCCTTGGCAAGGCTGCTTTGGCATGTGATTCTCCTGGGTCCTCCCCATTTTGCTGGATACAAGGATTTTCTCTGGTTTGGAAGATAAGAAACACCTAGGCAAAAATGATATGTGAGAAAGGAAGGCAGCCAATTGCCTATAGTTGGGACATAGGCTGACCTCAGCATTTATTGCTTTCAGTGCTAAATAACTTATTTTTAATGAAAGAAAAGATTATAATTGTTTTAAAAAACAATGGTAAAAACATAAAGGCCATATCAGATCATAATGTCACAGAGACTGTCAAGCTTCTTTACCTAAATTAGATTCTTTGCCTAAGATAATTAAAAGTGATGCTATATATTCTGAACCACATGAAGTCCTAAGCAGAACTAATACCAGGGGAAGGCCCTGAGTTAATACATAATCACACGTTCTGAGTCAAGAATCAGAAAGGAGAGAGATCTAAAGCTTATATTCAAGTTAGATGCAGTTAATTTATTATCCCTGAAGGCCAATTATTCTAATCATTTGGAGACTGCGACAATGTGGTCCCCTGCCTCAAGGGAGAGATTCATATACTCTCCTCTCAAGAAGGGCCCAAGCTTTGCACTCACTGCCCCTGAAGGTTTCCAGACTTTTTCAAAGAAAAATTTTGCCTTCAAAAGTTTTTGTGTATTATGTAGATAGTAGCAATCACCCACATTAGTGGTTTAGTTTTGTTCTCTCTCTTTTTTTTTTTTGAGATACAGAATCATAAAAGGAAAAAAAAAGCCTTTGTCTCAATAGCTTTTCTTATGATAGCTTTTTATGTGCTTTCTTAGAGAAAAGTTATAAAACTTGGTTCTTTCAGCTTCTATCAAAGATATACAATGTTTCCTTTTTTTTGTGCAAGTCACAAAGGAGCCATAACTGTATATATTTTCACATCAGATGTAAAATTCATATCTCACTTGTGACTTATGCAAGGAAAATAGGAAGCTCCATTAGACAGACCTACAATTTGTCTGTGAATAGTGATTTGCAGTTGGGGAGTACTTTCTTTTGAAATCATTAAATCTTCACAGCTAAGTATTCCTTCTGCCTTGACAGATTCTACACATTACCTCATCATATGTATAAAAATGATCTTTAAAAAATACCTTTAATGACTTCAACAATGGCCAAAGTTCATCCAACACTTTCCATACTTTCAAGAACTACATTTGGAGGCACTTTTTATCCTGTCACTTTGATGGTGCATAACAAAAAGCTTGTGTCAGAATTTCAGTGTGGCTTCACATAGTCTTCTCCTGTTATTAAGAGATATTTTTGAGCCAAATGAATAGCATCATCCTCGGTATGATATTAGCTTTAAAAAACCTCCTATATCTTCAAGTTGCATTGCTTATTGTAGATGAAAATCAAATGTGTAGTTGAACAGATATAATTTCAACAGAACTAAAATAGGAGAAAAACAGAACTGTGCTCTTCCTTTCCATCAAAACTGACATCTCCATTCATTCTTCTAGTGTAGCTAAAATCAGTCCTTTGTTTGTGCTTGTGAGCAATAACTCTACTCTCAGGTTATTATTATAGAGAAATTTGTTTTGGATAATACCATAATTTTAAGCAAATTAAAATCTTACTATGCTCTCAAATATTTTTTAAATCTTAAACACTTACAAAAAGAAAATGAATGAATCATTCTTGATTTCAAATCAGCCATTTGAAAACAGCAAAATTATTTCATTTTCCCTAAGTTGTTATGTACTATATAAATGCATATGGCATATTCATAATGTCAGTAAAACCTTGGCACTGCCAGCAGGCTCAAGAACACTATTTCATTTAACAATAGCTTATGTTTGGAAGTCTTTCCAAACAAGTTTATAGCCACTCTATCAATTTTTACAAATAATTTTATATTCCAAAGCTCCAAATAACTTGGAGGCAAAAAATTTAGGAGACTTAAGGACATAGGAAAGGAAAATTTAAATAAACAGCATTAAACTTTCATAATTTGAAGATATTTTTGTTTTTGAAGGGAAAACCTGCACTTTCCATAAACTTGCAGTTGCTTTCTTATGCCCATCCTGCATGCTTTAGCATACCAAACTATGTAAAGTTCCACTCATTTGCCTTGCTATCTCATACTGTTCTGTGTGTTCATGTACATGGATTTTCCTGCCAGGAACATTTTTTGCCTCCTGCAAAAATTGCCTTCATCCTTCAAGCTCACCTCACATGTCATCTTTTCTGGGCTACATTCCCTCACCTTCCTGTCTAACATAAATAGTCTTCTTGACTATGTTCTCTTAATACTGTCTCCTTCTGTATTTGGATCATTTGATTCAGTTTGTTGTATTTCTAATTAGGTCATAAATTCCTTGAGTTATTACAGCATTCACTTTGTTTTTTATTTTTATATAAATTCAAGGGGTACAAGTGCAGTTTTGTTACATGTATATATTGTGTAGTGGTGAAGTGTGTTTAGTGTAACCATCACCTGAATAATGTACATTGTGCCCGTTAAGTAATTTCTTATCCCTCACCTTTCTCACCCCCTCCCACCCTCCCACTCTTCCCAGTCTCTGGTGTCTATTATTCCACAGTGTATATATACACACACACACACACACGTATAGACTTACATGTACATGTGTATGTACACACATATATATTACATATCATGTATATATATATATACGTGATATGTATATATAACATTTTCTTTAATTTCCAGTCAGTCATTAATGGATACTCAGGTTGATTCCATATCTTTGTTATTGTCAACAGTCCCGTGATAAACATATGAGTGCAGGTATATTTTTAATATAGTAATTTATTTTCCTGTAGGTAGATACCCAGCAATGAAATTGCTGAATTGAATGGTAGTTCTTTCTATGTTTAGTTATTTGAGAAAACTCCAAACTGTTTTCGATAGAGAATGTGCTAATTTACATTTCTACCAACTGTGTATAAGCATTCCCTTTTCTCTGCAACTTTGCTAACATCTTTTTTTTTTCTTTTTAATAGCCATTTTGACTATAGTAAGATAATATACAATTGTGGTTTTAATTTGCATTGATCTGATGCCTAGTGATGCTGACTAATCTTTCATATGCTTTTGGCCATTTTTGTGTCTTTTTTTTTGAAAAATGTCTATGCATATTCTTCACTCACTTTTTGTTATTTTGGAATTTTTTGTTGTTTTTGACTTACTTAAGTTCATTGTATATTCTGGATATCAGCCCTCTGTCAGATGCATAGTTTGCAAATATTTTATCCCATTTTTCAGGTTGTCTGTTCACGCTGTTGATTATTTCATTTCGTTGATCTTCATTTTTAATACAGGTCCAGAGACCTGTATTATACTATACTGAGAACTCAGAAAAGTTATACTGAGGAGTTAATAAACATAGTGAGACTGCTCACCCTGACAATTGACTACATAATCTCTCGCATTACTGAAATCCTCAGGGTTTTTGTTTTTGTTTTCTTACTATTAGGTCTCCTTTTTTCTCAGGCCATCAAAATGCAGTTTTCTCTCCTACTGCAAGAAGTCTTTTAACATGCCACCTGTAATCTCACATCGTGTATCTACTTACCCCTAACCCAAAGCCTTGTCTTCCATATTACTTTTTTTTTTCTATTCATTCTCGATTCCTTTCTCTAGGTGATTGTACAAGAAGATGTAAAGAAATTAAGACTTTATTCCAGCCAAGTAAATAAAGTAGCTTAAAATGGTTAGGCAGAAGCCAGGAAGTCAATGGATATACCACAGAAAATTAAGACATTAAGAATTTAGGTAAATGGACAATAGTAATTTTAACTTTAGTCACCATGGTTTAAGGTTGTGTGTTTCTAGGTAAATAATTAGGGGCCAACTATAATTACGCATTGTGGGCTCCAAAACACAAACTAAGGTAGAAATGATCCAAAGATTAGAGATAGAAGAAAAAAAGGGCCAAGTCAGTAATTTTGTCTTTTACCATGGAGAAAATATAAAAATCTAGATTTAAGAAAGTAATAACAAGAAGTAGTTATCCTCATATGAAAGAATTAAGTTTTCTTTTCAGTGGGACTTGTCTAATGCTTTAACTATTTTTGCATAAACAACTGGCAAAAATATAAGGCTGACAAAAAGAAGTCATTTTCTCTCCAAAATGAGACTGGAAACCAGTGGTCGGTGGGAAAACACATACTGACTACCTAAATTCTTTTAGATGTACATTTATTATTAAAAAAAAAAAAAAGAGTTCTGCTAGAAATCTACTAGAGATGCCATCACACAAACAAATGGTAATTATAAAGTCTGATGATGACAAAATGAATTTTAAAAGAAATTTAAATGTTAAAATAAGATTTATTCGCCCACCAAAATTGATAATTGAAAAAGGATGACAGTTATCTCTGAGAACACCTGAGCAATGAAGAAAGACATCAAACACTTTTTTTCCTGTTATTAACATCTTTTATTTTATTTTATTATTATTATACTTTAAGTTAGGGTACATGTGCACAATGTGCAGGTTAGTTACATATGTATACATGGGCCATGCTGGTGTGCTGCACCCATTAACTCACTCATAGGTGGGAATTGAACAATGAGAACACATGGACACAGGAAGGGGAACATCACACTCTGGGGACTGTTGTGGAGTTGGGGGAGGGGGGAGGGATAGCTTTAGGAGATATACCTAATGCTAAATGATGAGTTAATGGGTGCATCAAACACTTTTGGTCTATACTGTTTTGATGTAATATCTGATTAATAGAAAAAACAATTATGAATCCAGCAACCAACTGGAGAACTAAAACAGTACCAAGAGTAACAATAATTTTGAAGCTCACTGCATGATATTCTCCAATCCCATCTGCCTGTATTCTCTCAAGAGGAAACCAACAGCCTGAAATATGTGTTCATAATCTTTGTGATTTAAGACAATTATGTTATGATGCATAGATATATATTTTAACATACATTCTTTATTTTTCTTCTTTTTTTAACATTGCTAAGATTGCATTATGACATATGTAGTTATTTGTGATTTGCTTTTTTTCTTCAATCTTTGTTTTTAAGATTTCTCCATAGTGTTCAAGGTAATTGTAATTTATTTATTTTATCTAATAAATAATCATCTAATGTGTATACATATAAAACATATGTATTCATTATTCTATTATCAGACTTTGGATTGTTACCAGATTAATTTTTCCCCTATTAAAACAATTTTGGACTGCCACTAATAAGCATGGCAGGGTAGTTTGTACCATATTAGGCCTCAATTGTAGACTATGAAAAAAAATGAATAAAATATATGGAACAGTTGTTGTCATATATTGGATAACAGGCATTGCAGGAATGTGATCCCTCAGAGAATAAAAAACAGTGAAGTTAACCATTATCCTAGTGTTTTTCCAGGAATTTTTTTTTATCAGAAACTGACCCAGATAGGAGAAATCCAAGATGATCACAAGTTTCATAGAGCTGAAAGGACAGAGAGGGAGATCAGTGAAGCTGAGGTGACTGAAATTTATAGGGCAAGTAACAGGAATAGAGGAGTTACACAAAGAACAACTTCCAGACATCTGCATTAGGATCTCATTGAATATATGAACAAATACCAAGCTATGAGTGTACAGGGCGGAAAAACTAAGAAAAACTAGTAGAGAAGGAACAAAAAAAACAGAAAACCTGAAAACCAACAAAGAGCCAGATATTGAACTGGGTTGGGAAATCTTCAAACTCCAGTTAACCACATAAAACCTCTTTGAACACCATGGTTCACTCAGTAGAGAGTGAAAAAAAGACCAGGTCACAGGGGTAGGGTTAATCTAGTTCTAAAATAAAGACTATTTTTAACTCACCCTAAAAAAGATTACAAACAAGTTTTACAAGGATTAAACTAAACCACAAATAAATTAGCTGCATGCCAGAAAAAAATTTGCCAATGATTAAAGGACAAAAACAAAATTCAGAGACCTGATAATGTGAAGCCTCTAATAAAAATTGGTAGAAATGTGAAGAAACTACAACAAAAAGAATATATGGACTATAAACAGGAGATAAATCAGTCAATAAAACATTCCCAGAAATATCAGAAATGTTGGAATAAACAAAGTATTTTGTGGCAGCTCTTAATATGTTTAGTCATTGTGATGGTTAATTTTAGATGTCAACTTGATTGAAATCAGGGATACCCAGATAGCTTATAAAGCATAATTTTTGGGTTTCTCTGTGACAGTGTTTCTAGAAGAGATTGTCACTTGAATCAGTAGATTGAGTAAGGAAGATTTACCCTCATCAGTGTGAGAGGACATTATCTAATCCATTGAGGACACAGATAGAATTTTTATAAAGAAAAAAGAGGCCTGAGGCGGTGGTTCACGCTGTAATCCCAGCAATTTGGGAGGCCGAGGCGGGCAGATCACCAAGTCAGGAGATGGAGACCATCCTGGCTAACACGATGAAACTCTGTCTCTACTAAAAATACAAAAAATTAGCCCAGCGTGGTGGCGGGCACCTGTAGTCCCAGCTACTGGGGGTGCTGAGGCAGGAGAATGGCATGAATCCCGAGGGCGGAGCTTGCAGTGAGTCGAGATCGCGCCACTGTACTCCAGCCTGGGTGACAGAGCGAGACTCCATCTCTCAAAAAAAATAAAAAGAAGGTTGAATTTGCACTCTTTTCTGGAGCTGGGACATCCGTCTTCTCCTACCATCAGACATTAGAACTAAAGTTTCTTGGGCCTTTAGACTTGAGGGCTTACATCAGTGGCCCCCAATTTCTCAAACTTTCAACTTCAAATAAAGTTACATCCTCAGATCCCCCAGGTTCTTCTTTGGACTCAGACTGGATTACATCAAAAGCTTTCCTGGTTCTTCAGTTTGAAGACAGCATGTTGTGGGACTTCTCAACCTCTATAATTGTGTGAGCCAATTCCCATAATAAATACATATATGTATAAATCTATCTCTTGTTGATTCTGTTTCCCTGGAGAACTCTAATACAGTCATTTAAAGGAAAACATCAATATAATCAAGAGAGAAATAGAAGTTATCTTTATGAAAGTTTTAGAATAAAAAAAGTGAAAAAATGTACTAGATTGGATTTACAGTGGATTAGACACTGCAGAAGAAAAGATCAATGAATTTGAACATAGAGCATTACAAACTGTAAAATATACTAGATAAAGAGAAGTAAAATGGAATTATAGGTATTGCTTTATGGAACAATTAGCTACATAACGTATATCAAGGTTTAGTCTCAGAAGATAGGGATAGAACAAAAATATTTTGAAGAGTATAAAAATATATTATCTGTATTGTTGTAAAACTTAACCCTACAGATCTCCAACGCTCAATGAAATATAAACAGGGTAAAAACAAAGAAAAATGTGGGAAGATACAACATAAACTAATTGATGAAAAACAAAAATAAAAGGAGAATCTTAAATAGTTCACTTGGAGTTATGTATCCAGTGAAAATATTCTTCAAAAAATTAAATACATTTATTCTTTTAAAAATAAAGACATTTTTAGCTAAAATAATTTGCTGCAGGAGAAAACACCACAAGAAATGTTAAGGAAAATTATTTAGATTGCAGGAAATGTAATACTGTTTTAAAACTCCACAAAAAAAGAGCAAGAAATGTTTTTTTAAAATATATGTGTACATATAAAGTATATTTGCTGTTTTTAATTTCTAAAATTTTCTATTTCCACTTGTTTTGTAAAGAAAAAATATAATAATGTGTTAGAGGGTTTGTAAAGTATGTAGAAATAATGTGTATGAAAAGAATGGCACAAAGGGTAGGAAGGAGAACCGGTAAGCATAATATTGTCAGATTCATATCGCAAACTTTAAAATAATCAAACACATAGCACAAAAAACAAAAGGCTGTATTAAATAAACTAGTATAAGACTAAAATGAAATACTAAAAACTAATAAAAATAAGACAAGAGGAAAAAAGATATGAAAACTGATGGGATAGACAGAAAATGTATATTATAATGCTAGACTTAAACCCAACCACAGGTAATTATATTAAATGTAAATTCACAAACTAAACCAAAGAAAAACATTGTCAGACTAGGTTGAAAACACCAAAAGCAACGGCAACAAAAGCCAGAATTGACAAATGGGATCTAATTAAACTAAAGAGCTTCTGCACAGCAAAAGAAACTACCATCAGATTGAACAGGCAACCTACAAAATGGGAGAAAATTTTCACAACCTACTCACCTGACAAAGGGCTAATATCCAGAATCTACAATGAACTCCAACAAATTTACAAGAAAAATACAAACAACCCCATCAAAAAGTGGGCAAAGGACATGAACAGACACTTCTCAAAAGAAGACATTTATGCAGCCAAAAAACACATGAAAAAATGCTCACCATCACTGGCCGTCAGAGAAATGCAAATCAAAACCACAATGAGATACCATCTCACACCAGTTAGAATGGCAATCATTAAAAAGTCAGGAAACAACAGGTGCTGGAGAGGATGTGGAGAAACAGGAACACTTTTACACTCTTAGTGGGACTGTAAACTAGTTCAACCATTGTGGAAGTCAGTGTGGCGATTCCTCAGGGATCTAGAACTAGAAATACCATTTGACCCAGCCATCCCATTACTGGCTATATACCCAAAGGACTATAAATCATGCTGCTATAAAGACACATGCACACGTATGTTTATTGTGGCACTATTCACAATAGCAAAGAATTGGAACCAACCCAAATGTCCAACAGTGATAGACTGGATTAAGAAAATGTGGCACATATACACCATGGAATACAGTGCAGCCATAAAAAATGATGAGTTCATGTCCTTTGTAGGGACATGGATGAAATTGGAAATCATCATTCTCAATAAACTATCACAAGAACAAAAAACCAAACACCGCATATTCTCACTCATAGGTGGGAATTGAACAATGAGAACACATGGACACAGGAAGGGGAACATCACACTCTGGGGACTGTTGTGGGGTGGGGAGAGGGGGGAGGGATAGCTTTAGGAGATATACCTAATGCTAAATGACGAGTTAATGGGTGCAGCACACCAGCATGGCACATGTGTACATATGTAACTAACCTGCACATTGTGCACTTGTACCCTAAAACTTAAAGTATAATAATAATAAAATAAAAAAAAGAAATGAGAAAAAAAAGACCTTATAATATACTATCTGCAAGAAAGCAACTTTAAAAATGATTTTTTATATATGAAGATATATATGTTAAAAGCAGAAAGATTAAAAACGTGTACCATGCAAATACTCATCATAGGAATGTTGAAGAGAGTATCTTAATATCAAAGTATAATGTAGCACAGAGTGTTGCCTAAGATAAGGATGAACATTTTATGATAATAAAAAGATTAACTTTTCAAGAAGACATTCAAATCCAAAATGTATATGCACCTAGTAACAGAGCTTTACAATGTATGAAGCAAAAGTTGACAGTACTTAACAGGAAATTGATATTTTACTATAATAGTTGGAGATTTTAACACTCTTCTCTAGTAATTTATCAATTACAAGAACAGCAGGACAGAAAATCAGTAAATAACCTTATTCTCCAGTAATTTATCAATTATAAGAAGAACAAGAAGACAGAAAATCAGTAAAGTACAGAAGACATGAACACAGCTATTAACCAACTTGACCTAATTGATATTTAAAGAACTCTACCAACCAACAGCAGAATACACTTATCTGCACATGGAATATTCACCAAGATAAATTATGTGTTGGGCCGTAAAACAAGTCTTACCCCTAAAAAAGACTAAAAACGAAGAGCGTATGCTCTCTAATTGCAACAAAATTAAATTATGTATCAATAACAAAAGAATACTTTAAAAATCACCAAATATTTAGAAATTCAAAACACACATCTAAATAACAAAATGATCAAGAGGAAATCACAAAAGAAAGTAGAAAATATTTTTAACTGAATAATAATGAAAACACAACATGTGTGTGATATAGTTAAAGCAATACTTAATGGTAAATTTTTGTCATTTAAAAGGGAAAATTCAAAATTTAATGATCTAAACTTCTACCTTAAACAAATGGAAAATGAAATTAATTTAAGATGAAAGATAGTAGAAGAAAAGAAAGATTAAGTAGTAGATATCAGTTAAATTAAAAATGGACAGATAATAAGGAAAAAGTAAAACTCAAATCTCATTTTTAGAAAATATTAATAAAACTGATACACATCAAAAACAAGAGATAAAATTTAACCAATATCAATCATGAAAGAGGAAACATCACTACGTCTCTATCCTAAAACATTTAAAGTACAGGAAGGCAATGTTAACTGACAACATTTAATTTTACAACTAGGTCAAATAAAAAAGCTCCTTAAAATAAATAATTCTTATAACTGGCACAAGTAGAAACAGAAAATATGAATTTTTCCATATCTATCAGTGAAATTAAATTTGTAATTAAAAACCCTTATACTATAAAAAATTGAGTCCCAGTTAGTTTCGTTGATGAATTCTATCAAACATGTAAAGAAGAAATTATATAACGTGGCCAACCAACTTGGATTTATCTCAGGAATGTACAGTGTTTTAACTATTAAAAAGCAATTTATATAATTAGTCACATGAATGGGATAAAAGAAAATAATCTTACATCATCTTAGTAAATACAGAAAATGCATATAACAAAATCCATTATACACGATGAAACTGTCAAATATGTAGGATTAGAGGGAAACTTTCTCATCTAGGAAAAATACACCTACAAAAAGTCAATATTCAGCATCGTAATGGTAAGAGACTAAAATATTTCCCCTTTCCTTTTATCACCACCTCTGTTCCACACTTAACGGGAGACCTGGACAGTATAGTCAGGCATTAAAAATAATAATTATGGCTTTGAGATGGAAAAGGAAGGAATAAACCTGCCTCTGATTGGAGGTGGCATAAATGTGTATGTGTATTTTCAAGAATCTACAACAAAAACCCTAAAATTAATATTTAGGGATAAACTAAACAAAATACGCAGAAGACCTGTACACTGAGAATTTGCATAACATTTATGAGAGAAATAAAAGAATACCAAAATAAGGAGATATACCGTGTTCATGGAATACAAGACTCAATAGTGTTCAGAAGTCAATTCTCTCACAGTTGATATATGTATTAAATATTATCCAGTCAAAATCCTAGCCTGCTTCTACTTTTGTGAAATTTAGCAAGCTACTTCTGAAACTTACATGAAATTCAAAGCATATGAAATAGCCAAAGGTAGAAAAAGAAACAAACTTAGAAGACTTGCACTACTTAATTTAAAGATTTACTCAATATTTATTCTAAAAGTAATGATAATCAAGAAAATGAGACATTGGCATAAAGATAGGCTTATAGATTAATGCAACAGAAGAAAGCTCAGAAATTTACCTGCCTTCTAAAGTCCATCAAAAAAATGCCACTTTATTCAATAGGGAAAGGGTAATATTTTGAATAAGTAGTGCTGAAACAAATGGATATCACTGTTAAATAAGTTGATCCTTTAACCATATCCTGTACCATAAACAGCAAATAAACTTAAATTGGATCATAGCCCTAAATGTAAATCTCTGTATTCTGTATAGATTTCTACATACCTAAATGTAAATCTATGTATTTTCTATGTATTCTACAAATACATAGAACAATATCTCACTTTTTACTTTCTGGAGTCAGAAAATACTTCTTAAGACAGAAAACGAAAAACCACTAAGAAAACAATAAGATTAAAAGAACTTCATCAAAATTAAAACCTGCTTTTGTCAAAAGACAATGGTAAGAAAATAAAAAGGCAAGCTCAGATTGGAAGAAAATATGTGCAATATATATTTGATAAAGAACTTGTATCCAGTATGAACTAATAATTCTTACATTTAATGCTGGGAAGGAAAAAATGCAACATAAAAAATGAACCAAAGATTTGAGTATGCGAATGGCTAATAAAAACATCCAAAGTAGCTCCAAGTTGTTAGTCATCAGGCAATATAAATTGAAACCACACTTTAGTATCACTACAGTACTACAAAAATGACTAAAATTAAATGATTGACAATACCAAGTATTTTCAAAGATGTAGAACAACTGGAAATTTCCTACACTGTTGGTAGACATGTTAAATTATACAGGTACAATGGAAAAATAGTCTGGTAAGTACTTATACAGTTGAACATTTACTTACCGTACATTCTAGAATTTCTATGCTTTTTACTTACCCCAAAGAATTAAAAATGTGTGTTCACAAATACTTGTATAAAGTTTTATTCATAATAGCCTAAAACTGAAAACCAAATGTCCAACAGTCAGCAGGCGTCTGGATAAACAAACTGTAGCATATCCATATATCGATATACTCCTCGGCGATTAAAAGGAATTAACTACCGATGTGCACAACAACTTAAATGAATCTTATAAATCTTACACAGAGAGACAGAAGACATACTCAAAATACTACGTAGTGTATTATTCAATTTACATAAAAGTATAAAACTGGTGAAAGTGTTCCTAAATTATGGACATCAGCTCATTGATTGCCTGGGACATGGGTGAAATAATTGGGAAGAGATATGAGGAAGAACTTGGGGTTTATAAAAAATGTTCTATATCCTAATTTTCCTGATTGTTCTCATGGTAAAGGCAAGGGTCCAAGAGTGAGAGCAGCACAAAAGAATTAAAGCTACAATATAGTGGCCAAAGCAAATCATAAGGCAAGCCATACTCAAAGCATGGGTTAAGAGACTCCATTTTCTAATGGTAAGATGTGCAAAGTTACCCAGTGAAGGATGTGAATACAGGCAGTGATGGAGAATTAAGAACAGTTTTTCAATTAATCTGCTATACTGACCAAGGTCCCACATTTTGCATTCTTTCTATTTTCATTTATTCTCCCAACAACCTAACCAGTATTTTCCTGAGCTCATGTCTTTCTTCTAATAATTCGATGAATGTAGCTAGTAATAATCACACATTTTTAACGTTCTGTCTTGTAACTCCTTTTCTAGGTTTAGAAGCGTTTCAGATTACCTTTCTAAGCTCTCAAGGATGACAGTTTTACCAAATGTTTTCCGCTGCATAGCATGACACTTCATCTCCTCATTCTCCAGTATGCATTCGTTTCCATCTTCATCCTCACTGTCATGGAAATTCCAAATATTTACTGTGTTGTTCTGTCAGTTACCCGTTTTCATTTTTATGTATTAAGTTCTATATTAGTAAGATAATGCTAGAAGGCATAAAAAAGAAACCCTAGAAAGTCTGGAGCTTAGCAAGGTATACATTTATATCTCATTCATGTAACATCTGACAGAATGTTATTAGTTAGCATTGGTGAGGTAACAATTTTGTACTTTTCTCTACACAGTCGTTTAGAAACTCAGTCCTGCTATTTTCAACTTGTTACTTACAAATTTATTCTGGGTATTGATATCAAACTGCCCAACAAAAGAGTAGAGAGTCATAGATTTTTAAAAACAATTCTTCTATACTTGATTGCCAGAAATCATCATAGCCGTAGCCTAAAAAAAAAAAAAAAAAAAAAAAGGCAAATGTATGTCCAGGAGACCAAAAAAACAAAAAGGATTTTGGAAAGAGATGAGGTTTCCAGCCTTTGCTATATACCTCATTTGTTTGTAAAATTATACTCGTCTTTTCTACTATTTTATGATTTTGTCATTAATTTCAGTATTTATTTCTAAAGTCAGAAGCTCATCGATATCTTAACCATCTTCCTCCCCAAAATGAAAGAACTTCAGGACACATTAGCTTATGACTTCTTTTTTTTCATTACATGCTCTTTTTGATCAGTATTTTAGTACTGTCCCTTTTTATACACACACATTATTTTTATTGCTGTTGCTATTACTATTATTTGTGTTTTTTCTTACCACTTCTTGCATCTTAAACTTTCTTTCTGGAGTCATTATTCTCCTTCTTGAAGTGTATATCCTTTAGTAATGGTTTATTGGTGAAAAACTTGTTCAATATTTGTAGATTTGATATCTTTATCTCCTTTTTCACTCCTAAAGAAAAATTTACAGGATACAAAATTATTAGTTTATAGGTGCTTTTACTCTCTTTTCCGCTATATTGAACATAATTGTTCCAACATCTTTTCCTGCTTCCATTGCTGCTGTTGAAAAGCCAGTAGACATGCTAATCATTGTTATTTTGTAAATTATCTGTCTCCCTCTCTGGCTACTTTTAATATATGTCATAGGTGTTCTGTGGCTTTAGTCATGCTTTGTATATATTGTATTTCCTGTGCTTATGGATTCATGTCCTTCATTTTAGGAAAATTGTATGCTGAATACTTTTCAGATATTACATAGTCTTCTCTCTCTCTCTCTTGCTCTCACTCTCTCTTAACTCTATCTCTATATCTATTATCTTAGATTGGACTTACACCCTCTAGCTTTATACTACATGTCTACTAACTGATGCCCATATTTATGTATTTTCTGTCTCCCTTCCTCTCAGTGCCTCATTCTGTATATGAAGCTGTAATCTATCTATCACTTTTGGAAATATTCTCTTCAACTATGTCTAATTTGATGTATAACCCAGCCATTGAGCTTTACGTTTATGTGATTATATTTTTGTCTTTAAATGTCTATTTTATTTTTAATCTGAATATTTACTTTTATTGTCATATCTTCCTTGATCATTTTTAACCCATGACTATTTTTACTCCAAGTTTTATTGCTGTGAACGTTCAATATGAAGTTATGTGCTGTTCTGTATTTTGTGATTCTGGGATAACTGAATAAGAACAATTTAATAAATTGGAGCAACAAAATCAAAAAGTAAAATTCCACTATCAAAATACGCAGATTACCAAATATAGCTTTTAAGTCAAAAATTAAATCTAACCATTTGCCATTTAGAGGAAATTAGATTAAAACAAAGTGACATACCATGAAAAAAAAAAGCTAAAAATAATAGGATAAATAGACAATGAGCGTGAGGTTAATGGAGTGTTTCTTAAAAGGATAACTTAAAGCAAAAATTAGAAAGAGGGCCATTGTATTTGGTAAAGGATAATTACAACTCTAAAAATAATAATAACTTTTATGAACAGGTATTTTCAGAGAGAAAATTCATCAAAACACAAAATAAAACTTATATAAGAAGATACTGGTAGTAATGATAGTAGTGGGAAATTAACACACCTATCTCAGTCTGACAGATCAGTGAAGATGAAAATAAAGAGGACATAGAGTAGTAGTTTTCTGGGGAGTGAGGGGAGGAGTGAGCAGACTCCAGGACCCTTTTTCCTGCTTCAAGCAGAATACTTTGCATCTATTGATATGGGTTATTTTAGTGTACAAGGATTCCATAGGAGGTAAACTGTTCTGAAATTATTAAAAACATGAAAGCAATATCTGAATGACAACTAACAAAAGCTATATAAAAACTAATTTTTAAACTTTTATCATAAATAAAATATACTTTTTTCCCAATAACATGGAACTTGTACCAAAAATTAATTCTGTATGCAAAGATTCTCAGCAGGTTCCTGAAAGTAGAAAGTGTATATCACTCTGTGTATCAATACGTATCATATGTGGCCATACGTTTGATGTCAGCATAAAAGATAGTCATATGATTTTATTATTAATCATGAATAATAATTATACTGATCATTCAGCTCAAAAAGTTAAAGTATAATAGGAATTATATATAAAGTATAAATATATACATTATATATAAAGTATAAGTATATACATTATAAAGTATAAATATATAAATATATATAAAGTATAAGAGGAATTAGTAAATTTAAAAACAGAAACTCATGAATTACAACAAAAAAGTAATAAAAACTTAAAATGCTTATTTTAGAGACCAATAAAATAGACAAACTTCTGTCATAGTCAATCATTTAAAACTTATTATATCTATCATTTATTGGGTGCTTACAATATGCCATGTATTTTACTAAGTAATTTATAATAATTTATCTCACTTAATCTTCAAAATAGTATTTTGACAATCATTCATTCACTTATTTCATAAGCATTTATTAACAATATACCAAACATATGAGGCACTGGGGACATACTGCTTTAACAAAATTCCACTGCCCTAAAGATATTTGCATTTTGGAGGAATAAACAAATATCTTCATTTTACAGATGAGAAACAAAATTTAGAGAACTTAGGCAAATTTCCCGAGGTCACCATAGCATCTTTGTGCCCAAATCATATTAGAACCCAGGTTTCTCTGAAGGTCCGTGCTCCTAACCAATATGTAGTGTTATTTCTGTGGGGGAAAATACAGAAAACATATATTCATACCATATAAATTATAAAGAATATGCAAGGAGCATCATTATATTATTGTAAACTAGGGTTTTTTGCCTGCTACTTTGTGCCAGGCTGTTTAAATCTTTCAAGATTCACAACTACTCTCTGACATAAGTCGTAATATTTCCACCATACGTTACAATTGAGAAACCTAAAGAAATGAAATGTTAAGTTACTTGTAGTTGCAGAGCTACCTCTATACCCAGTCAGTCTGGCTGCAGAACCTACACTTAACTACTAGAATATGTAACCAGCTGTGATTAAGACTGTTTTAAACTAAACAATTACAATTTATATAACTTGCTGCTAAAACATTGAAATTATAGATAAAATAGTTGGTTTTCTAGTGAAATGTGAATTGCCAAAGTTGGCATAAGCAGAAATTTAAACAATACAATCAAGGAAAACACAGTCAAAAAACTAACTCCACTGACGGTGGCAGACCCAGGTAACTTTGTGAGAATCCTATCAGTATATGAAGGCAAATATAATTTCCCTACAATTTAAGTTGATACAGAATACAGAAAATAGGAATATTCTGGCTTGTTTACCAAGCAGTCACTCACCATTATGCTACTGCATCTGTCAAAGTTATCCATAAACAAACCATGAACTCACCAACGAATAAGCTCACAAACAACCTTAATAAGCTACAGACAATCTCACCTCTGAATATATGCAAAAATTCTAGGATCTATTAAAAGAATAATATGTCAGACTCATATAAAGGATATTCCAAAATGCAAGGTTCATCCTTTCTGGACATTGAATACATGCACCTACACCAACAAGCAAAAATTGCCAACTCCTTCATCCAGCAACTTCAATTTTATGTTTTATTCCTAAGGAATAAAGCAGAAAGGTATTCGAAGATACGTAAGGATGTTTATCATAATGTCACTTATAATGGAGAACATTGCTATCACTCCTTAGGAAAAAATAATAGGAAAACATCTTACACTTAACGGTTATAATCTATGGTAGACTGTTACAAGAGACATAAGTAAGATACACAAAGCATTTTGTTATTTAAAAGAAAAAATTCTAGCTGGCTACACAAATTAGGACTTTGCTGAAGAGGAGGCATTTAGGACAGGTCTCAGAGGATGAGTAGCATTTTAGCAGATATGATTGGAAACACAGACGGATGTGTTTCTGGGTCAGGAGATCCAGAAAGAAGTAGTGAGAAATCAAACTGAAAAAGTCGACTGGGTCCAAAGCATGAAGTGTATTAAATATAAATAGTACTAAATAAATCAGTGGAACAGAATTGAGAAGCCTGAAGCAGATTCACATATGTGGGAACAAATTATATGACAAAAGCAACATTTTAAATATTGTGGGACACGGAGTTTTACTTATTTAATGATGCTGAAATAATCACTTACATTCCCTATGTCACATCAATAAACAAATATAGTCCAGTTGGGTGAGAGATCCAAACATTTTAAAATGATACAAAATGCTACCAAATACTTCAGAAAATACGGACAAACTTAGGTTTATAGATAATTTTCTAAACACACAAAAAATCGGAAGTCAGGAAGGAAACTATAGACGTGTTTTCTTCTCGCCAAAAATGATTATAAAATTGTATTACAGGCACCATCATAAACTAACAATACACTGGGGAAGAATAGTTCTATGGCCCTAAAACACAAAGAACTCTAAGAAATTAACACAAATAAGCGAATAAAGCAAGCAAAATAATAAAAAAAACATAAGCAAACATTTCACAGAAATGCAAATGCAAATGGCCAATAAAATCATGAAAAGATGTTCAACCTCCTTAGGGTTCAGGAAAATATTAAGCAATAAAATACCATTTTTTGCCCTATAAATACTAACAAAGCTTCAAGCAGATTGATCAAATGCGATGCTGGCAAAGATATAGGGAAACAGTATCACATATTACCAATAGGTAGGGAAACTGCTTGTATATTATTGAAAAACAATTTGGCAGTACTTATTAAAATGGAAAATGTGCATGTCCTTTGATCCATCAGTCCTGCTTTTGTGAATGACTGCTACAGAAAATAGAATAGTACGTGAAATATGTGCAAGGTTATTTATAGCAGCATTGATTTTTAATGATTAAAAAAAGAAAAATGCCGGGCATGCTGGCTCATGCCTGTAATCCCAGCACTTTGGGAGGCCTAGGCGGGCAGATCACTTGAAGTCAGGAGTTCGAAAACAGCCTTGCCGACATGATGAAACACCATCTCTACTAAAAACGCAAAAATGAGCCGGGCATGGTGGCAGCACACCTGTAATCCCAGCTACTTGGGAAACTGAGGCAGGAGAATTGCTTCCGAGAGGTGCAGGTTGCAGTGAGCTGAGATCGTGCCACTGCACTCGAGCCTTGGCGAAAGAGCAAGACTCTGTCCCAAAAAATATTAAAAAAAAAAAAAAAAGAAAAACCTCCGCTGCTTTCAATGTTTACCTAAAAGGGGGCAGTTGATTAAGCTGGTACATCTATACAATGAAATAATTTGCAACTATTAAGCAGAATAAGTCAGGCTAATTATTGAATATGATCATTAAATAATAAAATAGCAAATATACAAAATTTATATTTAAAAAATAACAAAACAGAAATATTACATGTGTGAACATATGCTTCACGGAGATGAAGTGGGAGATTATGTGTAAACTGTATTTGCTATTTGGCCAGAAAATAAGATTTGCAGTGTTGGAGGCAGGACAAGTTTTAATTTACTTAATTCCTAACCCTTTGGTTTGACTCATTGCAATAAGCACATATATGTTAGTAATTTTGCCAAGTTACTGTTGTCATTTACAAAAACATAACAATTTTTTTTCTTTTTTTTTTTTTTTTAAGATGGAGTTTGGCTTTTGTTGCCCAGGCTGGAGTGCAGTGGCGCGATCTCGGCTCACTGCAACCTCCGCTTTCCGGTTTCAAGCGATTCTCCTGCCTCAGCCTCCAGAATAGCTGGGATTATAGGCGCCCACCACCATGCCTGGCTAATTTTTGTATTTTTTAGTAGAGATGGGGTTTCACCATGTTGCCCAGGCTGGTCTCGAACTCCTGACTTAAGGTGATCTGCCCGCCTTGGCCTCCCAAAGTGCTGGGATTACAGGTGTGAGCCACTGCACCTGGCTAACAATGTTTTTAAAAATAAATCATAATTGGTTACAACTTATATTGTCTTTTAATTGCTTTCCTGAAATATGAAAGAAAAGGAAATTCTTTTTATAATCTACTTCCCAGACAACCCACGTGGAAAGTGAAATATATCAACCAGCACATGGTCCTTAATTGTGATTACATTTTATTGCACTCAGCCTATTAAGTGCTTAAATTACCAGATAACAGAATCTATGTTCCTAACAGTGGAGAGTGTATTAACAGTATTTTTGTTCCCTATCGTAGCCCCGTTCCAACAATCACATGGATGAAGGTTAATGGTTATATTCCTAGTAAGGCACGTCTGCGGAAATCTCAGGCGGTGCTGGAAATACCGAATGTACAGCTGGATGATGCAGGCATTTATGAGTGCAGAGCTGAAAACTCACGTGGAAAAAATTCCTTTCGTGGACAATTACAAGTATACAGTAAGTGTTTTCAGCAAAGCATGATTGCTCTAGTCCCAAAAGTCAAACTGAAAGTGGAAATTAACTTTAACTAAATATTGTTTGTTAGGTACATAAAAACCAAGTAATAATTTATAATCATACTTCATTCGTATGGTAAGGCATCATGTCAAATTACCCTATACATAGAAATGATTTAAATTATAAATGAATGGGGAATTATCGGTGTCTTTGTACAGCATACAGAACTTACGTCCTTAAAAATGAGCTATTTCCCTGGCACCAGCACTATACTCTGACAAGTTAAAAATCTTGGAAAACTTATTAACTTATTCTACAACTTGGCCAGAATCAGAGGTTCCAATCTAGTGTCCATCAACGAGATCCTGCCCAGGTGCCATTTTTTGTAAATGATGTTGGAACAAAGTCACACCCACTTGTTTACATATCACCTGTCAGTTTTTGCCTGGCAATGGCAGAATTAAATAGAGACAGAGACCAGCTGACTTGCAAAGACTGAAATATTTGCTTTTGAGCATTTTTCAGAATAAGTTTGCTGACCTGTGGCCTAAATTAATACATCTGTATGATAAATAGCCCCTACAGCCTGCAAGTGTTTATATTGTCCAAAAATGCCAGTCAACCAGGTTGTGTCTAAGAATTAGGAAAATCTCGTTCAAAAGTTTTTACAATCTCATCTTTACTTCTAAAGTTCAAAGTTGTTTGTACTTTTCATATTTGATTTACAGTATATATATAATGGGTAAGTTAGGGTATTCTCATTTTCTAGGTGAGGACACTAAAAAGAGAAGCAATAGGCTAGAGCATTGAAATAAGCAAATATAGATGCTTTGAATATATAGTTATCCAAATTTCATATTGGCTGTTTCCTCCAGGAAACCATGACTGTCCCTGTATCTCAAGATCAGTTCCAAAAGCTTAATGCCCTTTACAGGAACTCCTAAAGAGTATTTTGAAATATTAATAACTGAATTCAACCAGTCTTTCTTCATCTTTAACAACTCCTTTAGGAATTTAGCATTCTAACCAAATTGATTATGCATTGCACATTTTATCCATTCATTCATTGATACAGTTAATGTTTGTTAAGTGCCTCGTACTGCTCTACATGCCAGCAATAGAGCCTTGAAGTAACTCATGATCCACTGGACTAGAGGAAAAGCAAACTCCACATTAGAGTGGAGCATTCTGTGTGCAGTGATAAAGGCATGTGAAGAGGACTGTGGGAATGCAGAGTCTACTGCATTCTACTCAGAGGAGTCAGGAAAAGCTTTAGAGAGGATTGGTAACTTAAGAGCTAAACAGGGGAGAGCATCTGGAAGAAAAGGACATAGACATTTAAATGTTTCTAAGATTGAAATATTAGTAGTGGTTTGATTGTTTTTAGGCCATGAATATTTGGATGAAATCCACAAAGTTTATAACTGTTCATAATTCATAAAACAAATCATTAAGACAACGCTCTCTAGCCATAGGGAAAAGTTTTTTTCTGTACCCCAGTGGAGCAAAGATTAATGTTAAAATACACGTTCATTTTATTCTCACACCAACAGTTTGAAGTATTACCATCCCTCTGTACAGATAAAAATCTGATACTGAAAGACAAGTGTTGAACCGGAACTTTACTACTGAAAATCACAAATAATGTAAAGCATGCCTGTTACTCTGAAGGCTATCAGAGGAAAGTACGAATTCTCTGTGTTCGAAGAATGGCCCACACCTAAATAGAATTAGATTGTATGTTCTAGGGACTGAGGCTCCTACATAGCATGACTCTACTTACTCCTCCCTTAACCCCAGCTACTTAATTCATAGGTAATGATGACTGTTTCCAGAAATGTAAAAAAAAAAATTGCTTTCACTCCTTATTACTGGTGTACATTCTAGTGAGAAAGTGCTACTTAAACAATCTGGGGTGTCGTTGTCATGCACTGTAGGCCATCTGGGTAAAGACAAACCTACCCAAAGCGTGCATCACTTTGAATAGAAAAAAAAAAAAATCTAGATTGTTCCTTAGAAAGAGAAACTGGGCTGGCTGGCTACTTGGCATATATTTGTGACAGGTGTGGAATATATCTTGAAAGCATGTGAACTCTTTCTTCAGCCCATGTTTAGGGTAGCTTTCTACCAGGCTCCATCAGGAGGCCATACACCTTGCTTTGCCCTAGAAAATCCCACTTTACATCTGCTGCCCTATGACAATTATGAAGAGTGTCCTATTTCACTTCTAAAAGTATCTTGGTAACTAGGTGTAGTGGCTCAGACCTGAAAATTCCAACACTTTGGGAGGCCATAGCAGCTGAACCTGTCTCTAAAAAAAAAAAAAAAAAAAAAATACAAAAAATTATCTGAGCATGGCGTTGCACTCCTGTGGTCCCAAATACTCAGAAGCCTGAGGTGGGAGAATCACCTGAACCCAGAAAGTCAACGCTGCGGTGAACCATTATAGTGCCTCTGTATTCCAGCCTGGGTTAGACCCTGTCTTAAAAAATATTACAAATAAAAAATAAAAGTATGTCGGTTATCATGTATTCATCCAACTTTTGTACTTTTAAAACTGTCATGTTAGACATGAGGGCTTTCCTCCCCATCAAACTCTGTAAAGTGTAGATAGGATTCAGTCATTTCCACCTGACTGGCAGTAGATATGGATAGCATGATGAATGGATGTTTCACTGTCTCATGGTTTATATTTAGAATATTCTCTCAATAGAATGAATTACTGTAGGAAGCTCTGTAATTGGGATTCTATCTGTTAGAAGTACAGACTACCCATTTTATCCAAACAGTCAGTATTCATGTAGTACTGAAAACAATGGTAGCACATTGTTTTTGAAAGTACAATTGCAAGAATACTTATGCTTAGCTATTAGTTTCAAAAAATGAACCAGGGATCTAAGGCAGCATTTCTAGTCCCTTTTCTTGGTCAAAGCATTATAAAAGTGCTATATAGATAGTACACATAAGTTTAAGCTGCAGATTTTACTGTTTTTAATTCAGTATCTACATTGTAAACATAAAACAACAAATGATACAACATCAAGAAGTCCATGGTAGTTAAATTAAAGTTAAGATACACTTACATGTCTAATATAACATAAATAGGTCTTAAAAGTAATACTCATAAAAAAGAAATAAAACTTGGAAAAATTAAAATACTAAGTTTTGGAAATAATTTGAACCTTAGCATAAACTGCATAAATATTCTATTTGGTATGCCTTTCTTGATAATAGGATTTTCATGGGTTAAGTCATTTCTTTGGCTATTTCTGTCCCCTCTAGTTTCTGACGATTGATGAAAAAGACCTGGTTTTAACTCATCATATAAAATTTTGTTTCTATAGTTCTAATGCAAGTTGAACTCTTGCTTGGTAAAGTTCTCAATTAAAAGGAAAAGAAATAAATGACAAAATGACAAAAGAAATGCAGAACAAAGTAAGGAGAAAAGGGGTAACTGAAGGGGGAAAGATGGAGGCAGGAAGGACAAACATCATTTAAGCAGTTTTATAAGGAGTTCTCAAAATGGGAAATATTTTATGTACACAAAAATCTCATTATATAAAGATGTGTGATCTGTGAGTTTAAATGTGTATCATGTGCGTCACCAACTAGTAACTTGTCACTCTATAAAGACGGTCACTATGACCTCTAGACAGTTTATATTTACTATTTCAACTAGAATTGTATCAGTATTAAAATATTCCTTTATCCAGAACGCTTAAAAGTTAGTTGTACTGTACTAAATATCCAGTAAAGGAATACAGTTTCATTTTCAGTGTAGAGTGGTATTATAGATTTCCTTATCTTCATAAAACCTCTGGACAGTATCCTCACAAATGTTAATCGCTTCTATCGTCTGCAATTTGATTGTAAGCTCTTTCAAAATAGTCTACTTTTTTTTTCATCCAGCCCTGTGAATTCTGTTCAGCACACAGTGGATAATTTTTATTATGATTCTATACTGTTATAAAGATGAATGCTTAGGTATGCACATCATTTTATAATGTCCACTATGAAAAATAGATGAGAGTCAGGAAAGACTAAGGAACTAATGAAGGGAACTAATAATCACCAAGAGCTTACCTTCTAGACATTACTACGAGGTGCTTTACATACATTAACTCACAATAACCCTTAGGTCTTAAGATTCCCATTTGACAGACAAGAAACTAGACCTCAAAATATTAAGGAACTTATTACCCCAGGACCCATTAATAACAAATAGTAGAACCAGAATCCAACTGAAACTGGCAGTGACACCAGGATTCAAATCCTACCTCCACCCCCAAGGATAGCATGCTACTTCTCAGTGAGACACTGAGAACCTGAACTAAGGCATGAGATGAGAATGGCATCGAGAGCAGATAATTTCTACTTTCTATATACTATAGTTAACATTTTATTAATGTTACAGAAAACTGTATGATATATTAAAATCCTTGCCATTAGTTTTTGTTCTTTTTTCTTTTCTTCAAAATACTGTTTATGTACGTTAGGTCTGATCTTTAAAGATGTTTTAGCTGTTAAAGTATATTAAATATTTACTCTAGGAAATGATATAAAATTGTTGATTCCTGGTTAATAATTTCATACCTAAAGACAGTTTTCAATCCTGTTTTATGGAGAAAAAATTCTTGCCTTGAATTCTACTGTTATTATGAAAGTGATGCCATATGTATATTCACAGTTGCTAGAAAACACATGGGCAATGGATTGGGGGGAAAGTAACCAATATATATTATCTTCTATCATCATGGTAGCTCATTGAAATAGGAATTACTATCTACAGCTTACAGCTGAGACTCATTACAGTTAAATAACTCATTCTCAGCGACATAATAGAGCAAGGGCATGGTAGCACTAGAATTTGAACCCATATTCATCCCCAACTGTATAATCTCTCCAATATAACACATTACCTCTCATTGGCCTACAGCTGAGAGTCATAATACTGAAAGTGATCTATGCGGATAAAATATGTTGACTCCTCAATACATAAGAGTACAGAAGCAACAAAAGAGGCCAATAACACTTAGCATTTATCAGTAGAGAGTTACAGAATTTCTAATGACAAGAGATAATAAGCAAGAGTTTTCTTTATGCACATCTGCTTAGCATTTTATAAAATGTAACCCAGAGACTGATCTGAAGCTGAAATGTATTACATAAGTACGGTGCATCTGGTGAGGCTTTAACAGCTCCTGGGTTTAAAGTGCCATATGTCTCTTCAGTTTTCCACATCCTAAAATAGGTGGCTTGACAAAAGCTAGATTTTAAAAAGTTATTAGGTTTGTTTTAAATGTGGCCCAACCTGTGATTTTTCTTTCCCAGACAGATGAAAGACTTTCCATAATGCAGACCACGTCTTGGCATCTGCTCACCCCATGTTATTATTCAGAAGCCAAAGCCAATGCCCTTTAGTTACTTGCAGTCCTCTGCCAAAAAAAAAAAAAAAAAGTTTAAATGTAACCTTTTATGTTTCTGATTTTATGTTACCAGTAATTTTGTTGTTTTTGTAAGAATCTTGCAAGTACTGTACTGTCTTTTTCAGATTACAGCCTAAGACAAATTATTTCAGGCCTTAATTCAGTTTTTAATGTTTTATTTTAAAAATTTTACCACTGCCCTTTCACATAATGTTTTTTGCCTCGGACCATATAGTATAGACCTAGTGGTTTATAAAATATCTTGCAATGTAAACAAGAAATCTGTTGTAGAAGTCAAGCTGATCTAGTATTGAACATAACCTACATTTTCCATGTATTTTGTGAAGGATAGCCATTCATAAATTCCCATAGCCTTAATGTTAATTAATGTTTATTCAATTATGACATTAAATTTATTTTTCTAATGTAGAGCTTAACTTCATTGTAACACAATCTACAACCCAAATTCCACTTGTGTGTGTGTCTGTGTGCATGTTTGTGTGTGTATGTTTATGCGTTTGTGTGCTTGTGTATGTATTTGTTTGGACTTGCTTGAAAGCTTTTATATCAAGTCAATTAACAAGCAGGCTATATATACTAACTGCATATGGCATCTTAAGCAGCCAAGTGACATCACCAAGTTATGCCATTTCAGGATTTTTTTTTTTTTTGCTATTATGCAACATAGAGATAAAGCTACAGAAGTATAGCTCTTACACATAACAACATAGTTTGGTACAAAAGATTCACACACAAGGTACAGTGTTCAAAGCAACAAAATATGAAATGACATCTGTCTTTTATCTGCCAATAATTGACATACTGATAGCATTTTTTCAATTTTGAGGGCAGTGTAACAGGCCACTTTTACTTGTAGAATTCTTGGTAGAATGAATTTGAATAACATTTTAATGGCCTTTCACCCACTAGAGTTTGAGCTTACAGCAAACAGATATGATAGCACATTTATGTTCGTATCTTCAGAGTAAGCATTTTACCTATAATGGTATCCAAAAAAAAAATCTAAAGAAAGGAAGGAAAAAATTAATTCATATTTGTATTAATGTCATTAATCATATGTTTGATTCCTATGAAAAATTTGTTTTGGAATCAGGACTCTAAATTTTTTCTTCCAATTTCTAATGGATTGTTTTCTCAGATGTCAAATCTGTTTTTATTTAAATATTTTAACTGTTCTTTCTTTCCTAGCTCTTCATTTCTGTAACTTTTAAAAATCTCTTTTGAAGTTATTTTAAAGGCTACAGTCATGGTACATTTAGAGATAGATCAATAAGTCTAACAAATACAATCAGTTATTATAGGTAGGACACTGTTTCGCCTAACATTAAGTTTAGAATCATCTCTACTCTTAATGATCTCACTGTCTAGCTGAGTGTCAAATTCTAACCAACTAAAATATTAAATAACAATTTAAGTCAGCAACAGAAGAGAGGTAACAAGCTACGACATGAATATTTTCCAAACGAATAAGAACTACAGGTGTCCAGAGGAGGTGCACATGACTCTTCTTTGAGGCTGTGATTAATACCTCTTACTTAATTTAGAATAAACACTGAATCGTGAGTAGAATTAAAAGAGACAGAATAGAAGTAGAACACTCTATGTAGAGTGAACAGTTTAAATAAAATACAGTGTGTGCTTGGGAGATAACACACCAGTTTATCTGGCTTACAGGAGTCATGCATAGTGTAAAGTATCCTGGCAGATTAGTAAAGTTTACAGAAAAGCCAGATGTAAAAGTAGAGTTTAATATTGTTTGTGTATCTCATCACTCCTATCAGCATTTTAGCATATATGACACATAACTACAAAGAGATGATTTCCGAAGGCAGGTACAAAAATCATGATGAATATTTGAAACTCACTATGGTAAAGATTTTTGAATGATAGCTTGCAGGCTTAGAAGCTGAATCACAGAATGTATTCCAAGGTCTACAAATCCTGACTATGCTATGCCAAAGTGGGGCTTCTAAAGTCTAGACTATATTGGCCAGAAGACCAGTAAGCTAATAAAAGCAAAATTCCCTCTTAGAAACAAGTAACTAACTTTGTGACCTTGGGTAAATTTCTTTAACCTCTTTGAGTCAAAATCTGATTCATAAAATAGGACATGTTTGTTTGAAGGATGAATGTTACAGGGATTAATTGAGAATTTGGCTCAGTGTCTAGGACATGGTAATGACTAGCACTAGCATTTAATAAATGTGAGTTCTTTCTTGCTCTTTCTCCTCCCTGCTAAACTGGCTTTGGTTTCGGACATCTGCTACTCCGTTATACCCACTATTCTGACATGCATGTGTAGTTTTCTTTATTTTTTATTTTTCTTTTTTGAGACAGGTTCTCACTCTGTCACCCAAAGTGGAATGCAATAGCATGATCACGGCTCAGTGCAGCTTCAACCTCCCATGATCAAACAGTCCTCCTGCCTCAACCTTCCAAGTGGCTGGACCGATAGGCATGTGCCACCACACCTGAATAATTTTTTTTTTTTTATTTTTAGTAGAGACAAGGTCTCACCATGTTGCCCGAGCTGGGAACTCCCAGGCTAAAGTAATCCCTCTGCCTTGGCCTCTCAAATTCCTGATATGACAAGCATGAGCACCGTCCCAGGTCCAACGTGCAGTTGTTTAATACATCTTTTTTCACATGCTCTCCTCTTCCTTGGCAGTGACATTAGACCACCTCTACCGCAGCAAAAACTCTTTTAGAGCCGCTCTGTTTCTGTATTCTTAATAGCCTCTAAGATCGAACAAGAACTATGTAGCATATATGAAACAACATATAAATGAATGAATGATCAAAGCCCTCAGTAGCACATATAAATATTTTACAGTTTTTGCCAAAAATGTTGTTAGAAATAATAAATTCAGTGCAATATTTTTATACGTATTTCTTTGACTGTTTTAAACAGAATATTTGTAAAGAAAGAGTCAGCTTTATTCAACATTTTTCCTTAAAAATTGGCCAATAGTGGAAATGAACTTTAACTTGTATCTTAAGATTTCATATAATTACAACAGTATCTCATTCTTAATAAAATAAATTTTCCTCTGTAACAATTTTGCACAAATAAAAAAATTATATTGCAAGAATGTAAATTAAGAAAAATTTTACAGTGAAATCTGGATTCACAAATCATTTTTCCAAAGTCATTCAGGTGTTATATATATACACAGAGAGATAGAAACAAGTTGAGTAGATACACTGTATATTTCTACCCGTGCTAATGCTGCCCCACTACATTGAAAGAGCAATTGACTCTAGTACCTGACTTCCTATTAAACTGGTTCAGGTGCCTTGGGGATAACTAAACCACTTAAAGTCCAAAAAAAAAAAAAAAAGAAGAAGAAGATTTTGCATAGTTAAAATAGCATTTTATATTATCAAAATATCTTCACTGCTATTTTTTGGGGGTACAGGAAATAGAATTTTGTGTGTAACGCAATGCTGTGCTTCTTCAAAATACCTATGGTTGAATGAATTGCTTTTAAAAAAATACGTTGAATTTTTCCATGTAAATTTTAAACTTGGTAAAGCGTTTGAGAAATGAAATCATCCTTGTTTACTGCTTACATACTTACAGCCTACCCACACTGGGTAGAAAAACTGAATGATACTCAGTTAGACAGTGGGAGCCCTCTCCGATGGGAATGTAAGGCTACTGGAAAACCCAGACCCACGTATCGTTGGCTGAAGAATGGAGTACCCCTCTCACCTCAGGTACTGTTGGGAGTTATTAACCTGTTCTGCTGTAATTTTAGCGAGATTTCACACAGGACAAACTAGGCTTCTTTAGTCTTATTGAAAGCCTTTTCCTGTTTCTGATTCGTATAATAGGACATGTTTGTGTTAAGGATGAATGTTACGGGGATTAACTGAGAATTTAACTCAATGTCTGGGATATAGTAGTCATATATTTTAATATATTTTGAGTGAGAAACATAACAAATATGTAAGCATTTTAAAATTTTAATTACCTCATTACATTTTTTGGTAATACAGTGTTTCTTTAAACTGTTTTCAATCCTATAAATTTTTATGAAACTATCAATATTATCATAGATTTATTTCCATTTGTAGCTAACCTTTAGATATCACCTAAAATTGCTCGGTATCTTCGTTGATAGACAAAGCACTGCCAACTAAGAGTTTTTTTTTTAATGATTTGCTTGGCATTAAGTAGACAAGACATTTGGAGGTTTAACAACATTTAAAATTTAAATTTGTTTTTGAAATATGCTCTTGACTTGAGGTTACCTTAATTTGCACATGCTCAATTTTTTGTTTTTTATACTATCTTATGATACTGAAGTATATTGTCTGACCAATAATTTTATCTAGAATCGAGTCACAAGGCAGTTTTCTATCTGTGTTAGTTTTTTGGGAAGTGAGTGAAAATGGCAAACTCCTGATTGGATCCATATAGTAAAGGGATTGTTCTTATGACCTGGGCTATTTTTAACCTTGATCTCATGTGTCTACAACCTCAGTCTTTTCTACTATATGAATCCTTCTTTCCCTTTGTAAACGGAATGCAAATAAAAGCATCACCTGCTGATTATATTTCACAAGCTCAACTAGTGTACCAAAAAAGACACCTCACTTTAAAAACCAAACTGAAAGTAAAACTTGTCAGAATAACTACAAAAAAATTGTAATTTCTTTTTCAACCAATAAATAACTATAATTTACAAGTGGCATGTTATAATAAAATAATGAACAGTACATTTACATTGCTAAGTGGCCAAATAATGTTTAACTGTATTAATTGCAAACTTGTTTTTTCTTAGTCTAGGAGAGAATACCCATAAAATCCATGTTATTTGTTTACTTTCTAGATCTAATTTTTTTAATTCCATTACAGAGTAGGGTTGAGATGGTTAATGGAGTATTGATGATCCACAATGTGAATCAATCAGATGCTGGAATGTATCAGTGTTTGGCTGAAAATAAGTATGGAGCCATTTACGCTAGTGCTGAGCTGAAGATTCTAGGTATGCAGTTTCTAAGTGAATAAATTGAAAAAAAAAACCTTGCTTCTTTTCATGCTCTAATTTTTACTATACTGAAGGTTTATGATGTGGTTGTAAAAATCTATTTTATGGCTTGAAAAGAAATACTATGTCTTGCTGATTTTTTTTAACTTTAGTAGACAGGTTTATGTTGTGTATAGTTCGTCCCATAACTTTTTGTTCATATAGTTTTTCTAACTTTAGTTTTAATCTTAAAAGGTTTACACAATACGTCTTTGCTATAGCACTTAAAAAAATCATATAAAGAAATACATGTTAACTTCCAAGGAAGAATGCCTTGAGGGTAGGAGATCAGAATATAGAATTCCAGCAGCCTGTCCATGCTCCCATAGCAATGCTTAATAATTTCCCAGGCAGTTCCTATCAGTAGCTGTGTGGCTCCTGCAAAGCAAGACTCCAGGCTAAATCACTCTCTCCTCATGGGGCATCAACTAATACCTTCCTTACTTAACAGGGAAAGGCTTCCTGATGCCAGGCACTACAATCTCATAGGGTTACACCCTTGATAAGAATGTAACCCAGGCACTGCATTTCTTCACTATTTAAATACTACAGGAAACAATCCATCCAGTGAAATAGACTACCCAGAAAAAGCATATATGAGCCATTGGAATGAATTTTACTTTTCCCACTTTGATTTTTTCCTAAACTGGTTCAGGGATGTTTGTAATGTAAAGAAAGATACTCACTCATTGTCTTTCCAAAGCGGGCAGAAGCCCAAGTGTGTTTTCTATTCCCCATTTAAATTTAAATTCTCAAAGCATAACTTAAGAGAAACACCAAAGATCTCAGGAATCTTGGAGCCCACCATTTACATATCAGCTAAATGTAATACATCCTAAAGTGATTTGTTGAATTATGAATATTTGCAGTTGAAATTTCTCCACATTACAACAAATCCATCCAAAATAGTTACAGGATTCTTCCTTTCAATCTCCTTCATTCTAAACAATCAAATGTTAATGAACTTTCTTGTCAACTCACAGTATAATAGCACTGAATTAAAAGGCTGATTCACCCTTCACCTAGTTAGTAGCCCTGAAACATTTCTCAAACCCTTATCATTCACAAGAAATATTTTCAAAATTACTTTTTGTAAATTCTATTCCCAGGAGGCAAAAAAAAAAAAAAAAAAAAAGTTACTTGCAACTATCTCCTCATAAATTTCTTTAGCTTTTTAACTTTTTTTCTTTGAGACAAAATCTCACTGTCGCTCAGGCTGGAGTGCAGTGATGCCATCTCTGCTCACTGCAACCTCCGCCTCCAGGGTTCAAGCGATTCTCTTGCCTCAGCGTCCCAAGTAGCTGAGACTACAGGCACCCACAGCCACACCCAGCTGATTTTTGCATTTTCAGTAGAGATGGGGTTTCACCGTGTTGGCCAGGCTTGTCTTGTACTCCTAACCTCAAGTGATCTGCCCACCTCAGCCTCCCAAAGTGCTAGGATTACAGATATAAGCCACCAGGCCTGGCTAATTTCTTTGGTTTTAAAAAATCTCTTAACCTATCTCAATTCTATACATATCTTTTTCAATGTTGTGACATGCATTATGTTGCTATATGATATATTTTATATATATAATATGAAATACATATAATATCAGATTGGTAAAAGTAAATGTCACAGATACTGTGGACTTGTAGACATCTTTCAGGTTCTCTTTTAGATTCAAAAGTGTTTTGATCTAAATTATAGTATACACAGTATTTATGAATGAATGATCAAACCTAAGTGAAAAATTACAAGTAAAATTGCTAATTGAAATTCAAATAATTCAATTTTAAAAATTAATTTTTAAACAATGTATTATATAAAACATTTAATGTTTTATAATATTAAAGTAATATACAGAATAAATTAAGATTCGTAGATGGGAAATGGAAGACACAGGATTGTCTTTTTCGCAGGTCACCTCCATCTTACCAAAGGAAGGTCAAATGGACTCTGTCAGTTAGCCTTTTGCTCTTTTGCCAAGGTCATTCACTAGTCTTTCATAATTGAAGTTGGTAATCATAATTAGAACATGTCATTTTTTGAAATAGCCTTTACCTGTAGATCCCATATTGTATGAAATCACCTGCTAATGTACTAAGGTACATATTAATTAATAATAAGTAAAATTTTGAGCTACTGCCTTTTTCATGTGTAGATATACTATGATTTTATGAGAAATGCCTCCCAGAAGAAAAAGTTACAAGATCTTCATGAATCACCCATTAGAGATTATTGTCATTGCTTCTGGTAGAAACTAACATTTGCTTTTTTAATAGCTTCAGCTCCCACTTTTGCACTGAATCAACTGAAGAAAACAATAATTGTTACCAAAGACCAAGAAGTTGTCATAGAGTGCAAACCCCAAGGCTCTCCAAAACCAACCATCTCTTGGAAGAAAGGAGACAGAGCAGTTAGAGAAAACAAAAGGTTAGAATCTATTTTATAATTCAAGTTCAACATTAGACTTTTTTGAGGTTACAGGTGACACACACAAACTATGCAAGAAAGAGTCTTGCAGTACCGTGAGACGTATTTTATGAACTGATTGAAACATGGTTTTGCCTATATAGTGATTTTAAAAGAACCCAAAGTTTGACTTCAAAATGGTCAGTCTTCTTTGACTCCATGGGGTTTTAGCATAAGTTGGATATTTCACTAGGTTTTGAAGAAAGTACTCTTTAATTAAACTAATTATTTTTGTTTGTTTTTCATCTTGCTTCTGCATTTAGGAGGTCTACAAATCATCTGTGATAATTTTTAAGCATTGTGTTTTAATTTGATTTTAATACAAATGATAAAAACATATGTGAATCTTCTGGATAATCATGACAGAATACTTTCATGTGATATTTATGCCAATGCTTGTCTTTTTATCCAGGTCATATTTAGGCAAAATAGTATAGGATTATTTTTAGTGCCATAGGCAAATGAGAAGTGAGCAGAGGAATATTTAATATGTAAACATTTGTCTTTGGCAACTAAAGCCAAAGGATATCACAGGAGTACAAATGGAGAAAAAATCATGAGGGAATCAAATCATCACATGGCAATCTATTTGTACCAAATTCAAATGTTCCATGTCCTACTATTATTGATATATTGGTATTACAAATGGTGATTCAACTTTGACAAAATAGTATCCTCTATTATGTCAAAATAATATTGTACTGTATTAGATTTTGTTTAATTGATCTAGAAGTATAAGGAGTTTATGACTTGTTTTATGTTTGTCCCAATCTACATAAAATATAATTAAAATAATTTAAGTCTGCATTAGCGGTTCACTTGAATAATTTCTTAAGTAACAGTGAAACATTTTGAAAAATTTTTAAAAATAGAGTATTTTTGTTTTCCATCAAATCTGAGGGACACTGATTTAAATAGTCTATTTCAGATTAAACAATTTTTGGAATTACTGGCTTCAGCTTAGACCCAAAGATCTATGCTTCTTGGAAAGGGTGATCACCTGGGATTGGGATGGGTCGTCGTTGGCACTCTTACACCAAAAGACCTATCATAAGGGTCAAGGCTGTCATTCAAAACAAAAGACAGGCTAACAAGAGAAAAACATAACACATTTATTTAATCAAAGTTTTGTGTGACACAGGGGCCTTCAGAAATGAAGACCCAAAGACTTAGAGAAAACTCTTTTTATGCTTAGGTTCAGTGAAGAATAGAGAGCCGTGTAGAAATATGATTGGACAAAAAGTATGTGATCTAATGGTTATAGACTGAGAGGGGAAATCCACCAAGGCCTATGTGTTCAGATTCTTCTTGGCCATTTTGTGTGGTATTCCTTTCCTCCAGGTGTAGGACAAATCACCTGTCACATGAGACAATTCAAGGGAGAAGGGAGAAGGTCAATCTTTCTAGGTTTTATAGTTTGCTTTGACGAAGGGAAGTTATAGTTTCTATGATCTGCCTTGGGGGAGAGAATTCTGGTTTCTATCATTCTCTTCAGTAGAGAAAGAGGAGTTTGAAACGGACAGATGGGAGAAGATCAAAAATATCCTGCTTCCAAGGTCCTTTCAGTCTTCTTCAGGTCAAGGTACTCTGTGCCATATTCTGGGGTATCATGTTCTGAGCCCCAACATCGTACAACTTGTTTTAAAAAGAATTTCTCATTCTTAGGTTGGGGGGCGGGTAGCAAATGACAAATTGTGAGATCATTGTTGCCTATGACAGAATTGATCAGATAGTGATTGAATATTAGTGGATTTTTGCTCACAACACTATGATTTTTAAAAAACTGCACAAACCTAATTAAAGTAGAAGAAAATTGTTTTGTTGCATAGTAAGAACAAATAATTTACACTGCTAGGTTATTTTTTCTGGACGTATTAAAAAGCTTACAGTGTCATTAAAATATATATGCCTTATCTACGCAAAACATTCTATCTGAAATGCATGACTTTGTTTTATGTTTCTGGGTGGCATGTGAGTTTTGTCCTATTTATTTCAGTTCACAATAAGAATGTTCTTCATCAACTGTTGAAAAATGACACATGGTGAGTTTAAAAAATTAGGGTGGAACCTCTTTTACCAAAGCAAAAGTATTGAGAGAAGTAACAGGATTATGAGTATTCTATTACAACAACATAAGCTTACTAAATTTTTTATTTTTCAGATGTTGAAAAATACAGTTTGTGAATTTTTCAACTTTCTTGTTTCTCTTCCTTTCTTTACTGCTAACCCTTGGGGTTAGTGAGAAAGATACATTGACCTGAAACTCAGATCACTCAATTTTTTCTAGATGTCAATACTTCCAGTCAAAGTGTTGTTTAGGAAGAAGGCTAAAATGTAATTTTTTTTTTTAATTTATTCAAGTAAAAGCAAGGCTCAGCCACATTTCCTTAGCATTCTGCCTACCTTGATCTACATGTTTTAGGTCAATAAACTGGCTTTATTGAATAACAAAGCCCAGACATATATTGCATTTTTATTCTTAATATTGACAGGCACACTTACAAAATACCATTTTTATTATTGAATGACTTGTTACCATATCTGGCAGCCCTAGGTTTTAAGAAGAAAAATGTAGTTCACTACAAAAAATAATAACACTTAATATTAAATAAGAGGCTAAGATTTCAACAGCAATAGGCAGAATTCCATAATATAAGAAGACACATAGTTGAAAAATTGTACATTCTAAAATTATGACTAGAAACTTAACAATGTCAAATGCCTATATTTTACATTCTTTAAAAGAAGTCTCAGTTACAATGACAACTTATTTTCTTGAGGAAATTTTAGATTGCTTTTCTGTTATAATGCACACCAACCATTTGATTACAGCTCTAAATATAAATTTAAATGGAAACAGAGGTGTTAGAAAACTGTTAAGACTTCAAAAAGTTTGTGTCATTTTTTAATTTATAACTTACATTGGGTGTGGAGATTCAAATCATGGCTTATTTTATTGGAATATAAATATAAATATCACTCATATGATCTACATCAAATATGTGCCCCACTCATCCAACCTACAACAATTGAGACAAAAATGTTGAATGAGTTAGTGTTGTCCTTCAATAAAAATTTTGTTGTTTTGGGTTCATTCCAAAGAACTATTGAAACAGCAAATGGCAGTTTCTGTATAAGAAATAAATAATAATATTATATTGGGGAAAAGGAATTAACATAATAGTATATTATGAAAGAGACATTCAGGCCAGGTACAGTTCTCATGCCTATAATCCCAGCACTTTGGGGGGCCAAGATGCGAGGATCACTTGAGCCCAGGAGTTTGAGACCAGCCTGTGCAACACAGCAAGACTCCTATCTCTACAAAAAATAAAAAAGAAGAAAAAACAACTTAAATAAATAGTCAGGCATGGTGGTGTACGCCTATAGTCCCAGCTACTCAAGAGGCTGAGGTGGGAGGATGGGTTGAGCCTGGGTGGTTTAGCTGAGCCATAATCATACCACTGAGCTCCAGCCTGGATGACAGAGCAAAACCCTGTCTCAAAAATATAATAAAATAAGATCAAAAAGAAATATTTAAAAAAACAAAATACGTCAATTGCTTTCATAGCATAAAATTATGTCCAGAGCAATGGCATAAAAATGTAATATATAGTCTTAATTGCAGGAAAATATAATCTAATCATCTGAAAATATGTCAGAAAATCTCAAAGGTAAATTTAATTTAGCATTACTTAAATTTAACTCTAAATTGTAAATAAAATGATTGAAAATGATAGAACAACTGAAGGTTATAGTTCGTCATTTGTCAACAGAGTGCCAAATAACCATTTGGCTCATTTTTTTCTACCACGTTTTGAGTAAATCTGCCAGGTTTAGTTTTCTTTGTTTTCTTGAAGGTCAGTGTCTTCAAAACACAGTATTTTTTATGTGTATATATTTTGCTAAGGAAATTTAGAAATCATTATTCTAAAGTTGAAAATTTGATAACTAGAAAATAATATGACTTTTAGAAAAAAATATGATTAACAAATTAGCTGCCTGCTTATATATTACCAAACATTTCATTCATTTGGCCCTAAATGATACAACTAAAATATACAAGAAAATGGATTACATCAGAGCTAAGATTTGTTTACATTTGTTTGTTATTTATATCACAGAATGATCAATATGAACTCCCTTCAGATAGTAAATCACATTATTACTAATAATGATGATGACTGCTTATGAGTTCGTAGCGTTTATGATTTGCAAAGCACTTTAACGTTGTTGGTAAAAGTATAAACCAGTGTATGAAAAGAGGACTTACTTGCTCTGCTTATCCTGCAGATTATGAGGTTTCAGTAAGTTACCTAATTTATTATCTTACTAAATTAAAAGAGTAAGCTGATTGGGTTGTGAGAATTAAATGAAATTTTACATGTAAAATATATTGCCTAGTGTATGACATCTACTCAGTACTCAGTGAATGTTATGTATAATGATAATGATACTGATGACGATGATGATGGTGGTGGTGGTGGTAATGGTGATAGTGATAATGATGGTATCTGTATCAAGCCATTTTCCTACTCCTATAAAGTACTGCCCAAGACTGGGTAATTTATAAAGGAAAGAGGTTTGATTGACTCACAGTTCAGCATGGCTGGGGAGGCCTCAGGAAACGTACAATCATGGCGTAAGGCAAAGCAGGTGCAAGGAACCTTCTTCACAAGGAGGCAGGAAGGAGAAGTGCCAAGGAAAGGGGGAAGAGTGCCTTATAAAACCATCAGATCTATGAGAACTCATTCCCTATCACGAGAACAGCGTGCGGAATACCACTCCCGTGATTCAGTTACCTCTACCTGATCTCTCCCTTGACATATAGGGATTATGGGGATTATAATTCAAGATGAGATTTGGGTGGGGACACAAAGCCTAACCGTATTAATATAATTTGTACCTTTGAATCTTAGAATACTGGCATCCATTTCTGTTATCAGTAGTCTGGAAATGCTTACCATTCTCCTTTCTTTCTCCAGTCATTAAGGAAAAGAATACCTAAGATTTGTTTCCAAGGACTAAAGGAGTCTTTTACATCTTTTATGTCATAAATTTGTTATTCATCAATCTATGTCCGCAAATCACTATTCTTTGTTCATCAGAGCCCCAAACCTGTCGTCATTTATTCCTGGCATTGAAAATCTCATCTCCCTTACCTATTTCTAGCTCAATGTCTTTGGAATAGGTTCCTGTCCTAGCCGACCAAATATTTACTTGTTCCATTAACATTTTATAGGCCATGTGCAAATAGACAAATAGACATGGGGAGTTAATGGAAATAGAAATGAAGTATTTTAAAGACTTTTTTTTTCACTGTTTTTCTTTAAGGGCTCTCCAGGTTTTCCCCCCATCACTTTCACTTTTGAAGATTACTGGCACACAGTCACTTAGGTTCCTGTATCAATCATTTCCCTTTTCATACTGAAACTAATAAACTCCAGAAGTACTAGTAAGTAAAATATTCCACAGGGATTTTCTCCTCTAGCAGACCTTCATTCAGAATGTTCTGCTCATCAAACTCATATTGGATTTTCACTCCAGCTCATTATTTCCATTACTTGGCCATTAACTTTTGTTAAAATATAATCATCCAGAAGCACTCCAGCAGTGCACAAATATTAAGTCTTCATTATTACATGTTCAATTTCCTGTACTTTTTGTGGACAAAGACAATCTTAGCTAAAATGAAGAATACATAGTTTTTGATAAAGGTATAGTTTATTTTGTTTCCTTTCCATAAGTGCATATATAAACTGTTGTTGAACCTCATAGAATGTCATATATGTTTAAAATTATTCACAATTATTGAAATTTCAACATATTTTAAGCACTAGTTTTTATGCCCAGGCAGAGTAAGGTAACAGTTATGAAGATAATGGACTATAATTCAAACTGGTGCTTAAGAAATCCTGCATACAAAAAAAATAAAATTATCCTATGGAGGTGCAGTATTATAGAATAATTTTTCTTTTATGGGACTGTAATCTAAGCAAAGACTTGTCCAAAATCTGACATAATGGCCCCCTGCTCACTAAAGGAGCTTCAGAAAGGCAAAATTTTCAACTTATTTAACACGCATAGAAAATTGCACTAGAAATACCCATTATTTGACTTCTAGTGGGAATTCATGTTGTGTTTATTAGGCAACAATGATGAAGCTCACATACTGACTCAGAGACATATGGGAAAATCTGTTCTTAACAAAAGCCCTAAAGGACACTGTTGCTGAGAAGAAAGCAAGGTCTTCTTATTTTATCTATGGAAGAAGAATTCATGGGTATAATTAGGGCCCTGTTTTTGTCCCTTTGTTTCCACCTACATGCTGGGTTTGCTAATGAACAAGCTGTTTTGTTGTTTCCTCTGTGACAGTGTCTTTTACATATTAAGAACGTAAAACAATATAAACTTTAAGTATCTGGGTTTTCCTTAGTGTGTAAGAAATTGTATAATGAAAGAAAATTAGCATTCATAAATCAAGAATGTACAATTTGAATTTATATGTGAATTAATATCTATGTTTTCAAAAGAAATAAAATGATTAAATGGCATTGTTTACCTAAAGGAAGAAAGGTTTATATCTGAATTTATAAGATTTAGTAACTATAAACTGCTTACTATATAAGATGCCTTAGTACTCAGGGATGGTTTCTTGCTGTTTCCTATCCATGAACTTAAGGGGATGAGAAGGAAATGGCCTTACATTCATTATGATGAGATTAAGATACTGACTTCCTGATTTCAGTGAAAGCTAACTGCACAAGACTCTGCCTGAGTCACCTTCTTCATCTTTTCCTTAGAATGCTAATTTTTTATTAGAAAAAATTTTAAAATATAAAGCATTAGCATTTTATTATATTTTATTAGAAAAATATAAAAGGAAAGAAAACACAGTCATAGCAGCATTGGAAATTAAGAATATATAGCATTGGAAATTAAGAATTGTTGACTTCTGGGAGGAATCACCGTTTCATATAGAAATGAGCTAAATTAAGAATTTATCAATGAGTTGTTGAAAGCTAGACCTCTGAAACTTTAATGAAGTCAATTAAGAAACCAGCAGAGGAAAAATTTTACTCACTTCTACTTTATGTCCATATCTACTAAATTCAGAAATTGCATCTTACTACAGAAGCTGGCTTGAACCTCCCTCCCACCTGCAAGGTGGTAAGATGCTATGTCCGTATTCCACCCCATCTGAACTAATCCAACACTTTTTGGACATTATGAATCCAGCAATGGGGTGAGAGAGGACATAAATCTTAGGATTTCAAGTGATTAGCAAATAAAGCATAATGTCAACAAATGGTGATACTGAGGAAAAATTGAAATTCATGGATTCTGGAAATTATGTAATTCCGTGTACTACTTCTAGCAAAAGAAGGACTATATACCGTTTCTAATTTTTCAGGAGTAAATTTACCTCTAGATACGACTAAGGACTAGAAAATGGAAATTGACAAACATCTCACCTCAGTCCAGTTGAGCTTCATTATAGCCTTAGTAGACCTTGAGCGTTTGACTACAGCTGTGTACCTAACTGACCTTGAGATTAATATTTGGGGAACAGATTCTGGAGCACTGAGAGAAAAAAGAGACAAATAAAACTGAAAATATTGCCAATTGGCAAAAATAGGCCTATAGACATAGGAGTACAAGAGAGTTTAAAGCACAAACACACATTAAGCATGACAGTTAACTGATAGTCATAAATTTGGTAACAAGATGTCAAGCAAATATAAAAAGAATCATCATCATGCTTAAGTACAATACAAAAAAATTGTGTGTGTATGGGTGTGTGTACAAATAAGTTAATAAATATCAGGAGTTGCAAAGCAAAAAGCTGAAAGCATTCTAAATCATGGTGGCAACGCAAGTAAATATAGTCATAGTCCATATAGGAAAAATTAAAGATTTACAAAAAACAGATATATTGTAGAAGCATTGTAGGTTTGCTTTTATTGAGATAGGGTCTCACAATGTCACCCAAGCTGGAGTGCAGTGGCACATACACAGCTCACTGCAACCTCGACCTTCCAGGGTCAAGCATTTGTCCCACCTCAGCCTCTCGAGTAGCTGGGACCACAAGAGCACACTGTCACCACCATGCCTGGAAAATTTTTTTAATTTGTTTTGGTAGAGATGGGGTCTCACCATGTTGCCCAAGCTTGTCTTGAATTCATGGGCTTAAGCACTCCTCCCAGCTTGACCTCCCAAATTGCTAAGATTATACGTGTGAGCCACTCTGCCCAGCCCACTGTGGGCTTTTTTAATTACATTTTTGATGAGTACTTAAGGACAATGATAAAATAATGGTATATTATCAGTGGAAGAAATCATTGAACACGGTAGAAATTTCATTTGAAGAGAAAATGTCTGCATGGACACAAATACATTAAAAATACTGGAAATAAATGCAGCTAATTGTTCACAGGTTATCTCTGAGAAGAGGATTATAGATAATTTTCAACGCCACTTTATGCATTTCTCTTTTGCATCACTGTGAGGAAATACCTGAGGCATGGTAATTTATAAAGAAAAAGAGGTTTAATTGGCTCACAGTTCTACAGGCCATACAGGAAGTGGGATGCCAGCATCTCCTTCAAGTGAGGACCTCAGGAAACTAACAAGCAAAGTAGAAGGTGAAGCAGAAGCAGGCACCTCACATGGCCAGAGTGGGAGCAAAAGAGATAAGAAGGCTGGGTGCAGTGGTTCACACCGGTAATCCCAGCATTTTGGGAGGCTGAGGCAGGCGGATCACCTGAGGTCAGGAGTTCGAGACCAGCCTGGATAACATGGTGAAACACTGTTTCTACTAAAAATACAAAAAATTAGCTGGGCGTGGTGGTGCATTCCTGTAATCCCAGCTACTCGGGAGGATGAGGCAGGAGAATCACTTGAACCCAGGAGGCAGAGGTTGCAGTAAGCTGATATTGTACCACTGTACTCCAGCTTGGGCAATGAGAGCAAAACTCTGTCTCAAAAAAAAAAAAAAAGAGAGATGGGAAGAGGTCCCAGAGTATTTTAAACAACCACATATTTAGTGAACTGAGCAAGAACTCACTTATCATCAGGGGATGATGCTATACCATTCACAAGGGATCTGCATCTGTGATCTAATCACTTCCTACCAGGCCCCATCTCCAACACTGGGAATCTGATTTCAACATAGGGTTTGGAGGGGACAAACATGTAAACCGTACTATCCATATTTCTAAGCTTGGTCTCTTTAAGAGAATTAATAACCCAAAATAATGCAAATTTATTGAATAACAGTGTACTCACACTCTGCCAAATAGTTGAATGAGAATGGGAAAAAAATTCTCACATTTTCAAATAATTCCATTTTCAACAGTATGTTTACATAGTATAACGATGATCACAAATATCTAAATTAATGGCATCCACTTAAACACAGAAGATCAGAAGATAAACACTTCAGGAACTCTCAAAATATCAGTTCCTAATATTTTCCAAATTTAGGGTGATGGAAAACCTAAACACTCCTCTTTAAAGTCCTTCAAATATTTTCTTTTTCTTGACCACTCCACCAGTTTGTTTCTAGATTTCACTTTTTTCTTAATTGTTGAATATAATAAAATAAGTCTCAACTCCCAACGAGAGATAACACTGAGAAACTCAGTTAATTTAAGCTGTAAATGACAACAGAACAAGTCTGGTTTGTTGTACTATGAGCACCTCCAGTTTTTGACTTTACATGTTACATCTCTAGCTAATTACCAGTTTAGGAAACAGTTTATGAATTCTACTTCTAACCATGGTTCATTTACCCCAGTTACTATAAATTGCTTCACAAGTTGCCTGGTTGTGCTCTCCACATAAGCACAACTTGAACAAGCCATTAATTGCTCACAGGTTTTTCTTTTCCAAAAGCCCCCCAGACTACAACTTTCAGCTTAATTTGTCCTTAATACAAACAGCATCTAAAATACTTGGGAATTCAAGCATCTAAGTATATGCTCCTAACTGATTCGACTACCTCCCCAAGTGACTCTTCAGTGAATATAAAATGGTGAGGAGAGAAGATTCTGAGGCTGCTTAGAAAAAAAGCATTGTACGGTCGAGATTTTTAGCATCCTCTGAGAATTACATAGTCACTTCTTTTCAGATTTTGCATAAATCACGATGTAATTTAACTTTGGTTAATTTATAATGAGAATTAGAGGTTTGGTTACAAATTAAAGCATAGTACAATGATAACCTTGACTACAAATGGAAAGAAACTGTACATCATTTCCATGAAATATAACATATACAGATGTTATCATTTGCATGCTTACATCTCTGTGTTCCAATGACAGTGTGGTTTCTGAAAAAAAAAGAGGTAGGTAGGTAGGTAAGTAGGGAGATAGATTGATAGTTAATAAAATACCTATACATTTTAAGATGATTACTATGTTATTAGTTAATAGCTGGAGTTTTCAAGATACCAATATGATTTTGTTCCTCTTTCTTTCCAGTTGCAAATGGTAGCTCTACTTCTCCTTTTCCTTAATGGAGAGAGAAAACCTTTCTTTCTCTACCCTCTGAAGGTTCAGTAACTGAGTCTATGAAATATAAACCGACAGTAGACAGATTAATAAGACAAAATGCATACAAATTGATTGTGTGCACAGGGGCATCACAGAAAGAAAAGTGAGTACCCAGTAACCCAATGAAGTTTAGAAGCTTATATATCCTTTTCATAGAAGAGAGGGGTGGTGGGATATAGGCCACTTAAGGGGGAGTAAATAATTTTGGGGAGAGAATGAATAGGCCCAAAGAGCACGTGGTAACCAGTGAGAAATTCTGTCTGGGTGTGGCGCTAACTTCCGGTCTTTTTTTCTGGGATATGTGTCAATTTCTCACAATGATGAGTTTCCTGGGGAGGAGATCCAGGATGAATTGAATTTTTTCTGGAGTATCTGGTATCAAAACAATAAGAAAAATTCAGAGAAAACCTCTGCCTGCTGCTGCTGGTCCCCAGGTGCCTTCAATTTAAAGTAATCAGCACAACAAAACTTCATATTTTGGGATAACATTCCCAAAACTCCTTCACCCTCATGCAGCAGACACATGGTCTATGAACAGTTATATTCAATTCAATTTATTTCCATAAAAACTAAACTTTCTTCAACATATACTGTATATAAGACACTATGCCAGTTCATACCAAGATAAGTAAGAGAGAATCCCATCTCCCAAGGAGGCACCTGTCTGGTGGAAAATAAAACTAATATAGACACCTATAAAATAGGATAAACTAAGGTAATAATAAAAATAGGACTGACTGAGCATTGGGTATTTTTATATTGCATTACTTTATTAAAGTCCTCAAAATAAGATACGATTTTAAATAATATAATCCTGATTATAAATAATTAAATCATAGAGAGACTGCCTAAGCACACACACTCGTAACAAGTAACAGAGCCAAAATGAGAGCGTCCTAATTCTGTTTGAATCTAAAACCTGTTCTCAGTCTACTGTACCATACAAAAAACTTTGAGAGTTAAGAAAGAAGAAAATAAAATCTAGATAAAAGATAAGCTTCCTGGGGGAACTGCCATTGAAGTGGTCTTGGAATAGGATTTTAACACAGAGGGACAGAGTATATTTTAGGAAGAGACTTCAGAATTTGCAAAAATAGTTATGAATTCAGGACACTTTTGGGAAAGTAAATACTAATATTTGTCCAGGGTATAGACTATGTATCAAAATGAAAAATCTGCTGAAACAATTGAATAGCTGAAGACAAATAAAGAAGAACTTGAATGCACAGATTGAGTTCAAGCTTAACTTAGTAGCCAAGAGGTAGTCTTTGAAAGACTCAGTTCACATCTTTTTGAATTAATATCTTTTATTTAATTTTTTAAATTATATTTATTTTATAGAAAAATGCCCACTAATTACTCTGTCTACCAAAGAGAAAAGAATTAAAGTTACGACTTAAATATAAAATATATAAATAAATATTACTTAAATATCCTTGTTTCAACAACGAGCTAGCAAGAAGCTAGAAGGAAACTTCTGGTATCAAAACAATAAAAAAAAAGAAAAATTTTTAGTGCAACCAGTAAAAGCATTGAAATAAGGTATGCTATTTCCAAACTAGTTAAAAAAATAAATATAATGAAAAGTTAACCAATCAAAAAACAGAGGGATATATGTACATATACCAATAAAAAAACAGAGGGATATATATATCCATATATATGTATGTGTGTGTGTATATATATATGAGATAATAGAAAGCATAAAATAATTCAGAAAAACCAAATATATCAGAAATTACTGTAAATACCGAACTAGAAATAAAAATTCAGCAATTATATGTAAGAGCTTTGTTTTAAGCAAAAATAAATAGCAAAGTTGAAAGTTAATAATGGGAAAAAATGAATCATATAATATTAACCCCCCAAAACTTGTTTAACTATATCAATACAAGAAAAACAGACTATACAAGAAGGAATATAAAAATAGTATAAAATTTCCCCACTATCAGAGTGGGGAATCTCAAATATATTCCTTGTATTTCAGAATATAAGGGAAAATTTATCGCTCTATGTATTTATGTTACAAAAGAGGGGAGTTGAAAATGAATGAGCTGAGCTTCTATCTTAAGAAATTAGGAAACGAACATGAAACTAAAAGTAAATGCAAGAAAATAATAAATTCAAAAATAATTCAATTACAAACAAATATAAGCACAATTAGAAGATTGGTAAAGTCAAATATTGATACTTTCAGAGGACCAAGAAAATGAACATATCTGTAGTAATCCTAAAATCAAGAAAAGAGCTACAAAATACTGAGAGCAAAAATGAAAAATAAGCACAGATGCCATAAACAGATAAAAAGAAAATAAAAACATGATAAATAATTAAATGACAAAAAATTGGATCATTTGATTAAATGAATAAAAAATGATATTTCAAATTGACTCAAGAAGAATTGAAAAATTTAAATAATTTCATAACTATTAAATTAGTAGTTAAAAAATCTTCAAACATACACCAAAAAACTCAAGGTGTAAATGCTTTCAGTAGAAATTTCTACCAAAAAAAATAAGAACAAATGATCCCAATTGTACACAGTTATTTCACAGTATAGAAAAGAGGGAAAATAACCCTAACAACAAAATTTGCCAAAGACAATATGAGAAGTAAAAACACAAGCCAATCACCCTCATGAACATAGATGACATTATATAATGATAAAGGGTTCAATTCAACAAGAAGACTTAACTATCCTAAATATACATTCACCCAATACTAGAGAACCCAAATTCATAAAGCAAATACTTCTAGACCTGCAAAAAGACTTAGCCACACAACAGTAGTGGGGGAACTCAACATCCTACTTAGAGCATTAGACAGATCATCAAATCAGAAAACTAATTTAAAAATTCTGGACTTAACTTGACCAACTGGACTTAATAGAAATCTACAGAATACTCTACCCATTGACCACACAATATACATTCTTGTCATCTGCACATGAAACACACTTCCAAGATCTACCACATGCTTGGCCATAAAGCAAGTCTTAATAAACTAAAAAAATAGAAATCATACCAAGAACAGTGGAATAAAAATAGAAATTAATACCAAGAAGACCTCTCAAAATTACTCAATTACATGGAAATTTAACAACTTGCTCCTGAATGACTTTTGAGTAAAACAATAAAATTAAGGCAGAAATAAAAAAAAAAATTCTTTGAAATAAATGAAGAGACACAACACACCAAAATCTCTAAGATGCAAATAAGCACAATCAGAAATGACAAAGATGACATTATCACCAATCACACAGACATACATAAAATCCTCAGAGACTATTATGAACACCTCTATACACACAAACCAGAATATCAAGAAAAAATGGATAAATTTCTGAAAAGCAGTGTTAAGAGGGAAGTTTACAGCACTAAATGCCTACCTTGAAACATGAGAAACATCTCTAACAATCTAACATCATACCTAGAGGAACTAGATAAATAAAAACAAACTAAACCCAAAGCTAGCAGAAGAAAAGATATAACTAAAATTAGAGCAGAGCTGAATAAAATACTGAGAAACAAAAGTTCATGCAAAGAATCAATGAAACCAAATTTGGTTCTTTAAAAGGATAAGCAAAATTGACAGACTGCTAGCTAAATTAACAAAGAAAATGAGAGGACATCCAAATAAGCACAATAAGAAATGACAAAGGTCACATTACAACCAATCCCACAGAAATACATAAGATCCTCAGAGACTATTATGAACACCTCTATGCACACAAATCAGAATATCTAGATGAAATGCATAAATTTATGAAAACACACATTCTCCCAAGATTGAATCAGGAAGAAATTAAAAGCCTGAACAGACCAGTATCCAGTTCCAAAATGCAATCAGTAATAAAAACCTACCAACCAAAAAACACTGAGGACCAGATTAGTTCACTGACAAATTCTACCAAACATACAAGAAAGAGCTGATATCAATTCTACTGAAATGATTCCAAAAAGACAAAGAGGAGGGGCTCCTCCCTAAGTGACTCTATGAAGCCAGCATCACTCCAATATCAAAACCTGGCAAAGATACAACAAAAAAGAAAGCTACAGGCCAATATCCCCAATTAAAAAAACAAAACATTCTCTAAATATACTAGCAAACCTAATCTAAAGGCACGTCAAAAAGCCAATTGACCCTGATTAGGTAGGTTTTATTTCTGGGATGAAAGGTTGGTTCAACATATGCAAATCAATAAATGTGATTCATATGTTTGTTGAACACATGTATGTCTTCTTTTGAGAAGTGTCTGTTCATGTCCTTTGCCCACTTTTTAATGGGGTTGTTTGTTTTTTTCTTGTAAATTTATTTAAACTCCTTGTAGATTCTGGATGTTAGACCTTTATCAGATAGGCAGATTGCAAAAATTTCCTCCCATTCTGTACATGCAGCCAACAAACATATGCAAAAAAGCTCAACATCACCGATCATTATAGAAAGGCAAATTAAAACCACGATGAGATATCATCTCATGCCAGTTAGAATGGTTATTATTAAAAAGTTATAAAACAATGGATGCTTGTTGGGCTGTGGAGAAATGGAAACACTTTTACACTCTTGGTGAGAATGTAAATTAGTTCAACCATTGAGTAAGACAGTGTGGCCATTCCTCAAAGACCTACAACCAAAAATACCATTTGACCTAGCAATCCCATTACTGGGTGAATACCCAAAGGAATACAAATTATTCTATTATAAAGATATGTTCCTTGCAACACTATTCACAATAGCAAATACATGGAATCAAACCAAATGCCCTTCATTGATAGACTGGATAAAGAAAACATGGTACATATACGTCATGGAATACTATGAAGCCATAGAAAGGGACAAGATCATGTCCTTTGCAGGGACGTTGATGGAGCTGGAAGCCATTATCCTCAGCAAACTAATGCAGGAACAGAAAACCAAACACCACATGTTCTCACTTATAAGTGGGAGCTGAACATGAAAACAGATGAACACAGGGAGGGGAACACCATACACTGGAGTGGGTTGGGGAGTAGAGGGGAGGGAGAGAATTGGGAAAAGTAGCTAATGCATGCTGGGTTTAATACCTAGGTGATGGGTTGACAGGTGCAGCAAACCACCATGGCAGACGTTTACCTATGTAACAAGCCTGCACATCCTGAACATGTATCCCAGAACTTTAAATTACACTTTTAAAATATGTGATTCACCACAAAAACAGAATTAAAAACAAAAACCATATGATCTTCTCAATAGATAGAGAAAAACTTTCAATAAAATCCAACATTTTATGATAAAATCCCTCAAGAAATTAGGCATTGAAAGAACATATCTCAAAACAATAAGAGCCATCTGTGACAAACCCACAACCAACATCATACTGAATGGGCAAACAATGGAAGCATTCACCTTGAGAACTAGAGAAAGACAAGGATGCCCAATATCAGCACTCCTCTTCAACCAGTTAGAATGGTTATCTTTAAAAACAGCAGTGAAACCTGATCAATTTGTTATTTTCTTTTTCCCTCTGTCCCTCTTTCTTTTTCTTTTCTTTTCTGCCTGCCTGCCTTCCTTCCTTCCTTCCTCTCTTTCTCTTTCTTTCTTTTTCTCTCTTTCCCTCCCTCCTTTCCTCCTTTCCTCCCTCCCTCCCTCCCTCCCTCCCTTCCTTCCTTCCTTCCTTCCTTCCCTCCCTCCCTCCCTCCTTCCTTCCCTCCTTCCTTCTTTCACATCAGAAATTTAATTCTCACTGTCTGGGGGCTAGGAAGTCCCAGTACAAGCTACCAGGAGATTCAGTGCCTGGTGAGAGCTCACTCTCTGGTTCACAGACAGTGCCATTTCACTGTGTCCTTACATGGTAGAAAGTTCATTTATTTTTGTCTTTAATATCTATCATTGATTTATATTTTGTGCACTGCTAATCCTTAATCAATTTTTACCACAGAAATAAAATCTTTTGAACTGCTTAAAGTTGTTTTCTCTCTCTATCTACACACATAATACACATCACTTTACCCCAATAGCCTAAGAACTGGCCTCTCTTTATCCAGTCTTGCTCTGTACAGCATTCTCTATCCAGCAATCAGAGTTTTAATTTTAGAAAATAACTTGAATCATGTCAGTTTACTTTTTGAAACTTTCCAATGGCTTCCCCATTATTTGGAATAAAATTACAACTCCCTTCTACGACACATGAGACTCTGCATGAGCTAACTTCTGCCTTTGTCTTTCTCTTTGTCCCATTCCCGCATTTCTTCATGCTCATGAAAGTCCAGCCCCATCATTACACTCCCTGTTCGGTGCATGCAGTAGATTTATTCCTACTGCAGGACAAGGCACCACTTATCTCCTCAGCTTGAAGTACTGTTGCCCAGAGTGTTGCCTTATGGTCTCCTGAAATCTAGGTCTCAGGTCAAATGTTACCTTCTCGGAGGCCTTCCTGACCCTCTATCTGAAATTATTACCCCTATCCTTGTTACTTCTCTCACACATCTCATCTGGTGTTCTTCAAATCACTCATCACACTCTGCAATGTTCTTTTTGGTTTATTTTTTATTTATTCTTTTTTTTTTTTTTTTTTTTTTGAGACAGAGTCTCACCCTTTTGCCCAGGCTAGAGCGTACTGGTGTAATCTCGGCTCACTGCAAACTCCGCCTCCTGGGTTCAAATGATTCTCCTGCCTCAACCTCCTGAGTAGCTGAGATTACAGGTGCCCACCACCATGCCCAGCTATTTTTTGTATTTTCAGTAGAAAATGGGTTTCACCACGTTGGCCAGGCTGGTCTTGAACTCCTGACCTTGTGATCCACCCAACTCGGTCTACCAAAGTGCTGGGATTACAGGTGTAAGCCACCGCGCCCAGCCTATTTATTCATTTTTTATTTGTCTCACTAACTAAAATTGAATCAGGGGGCTTGTTTGCTTTTCATTCAGTGACCCCAGAGCCTAGAATTATCCTTTGTACATGTGGAAGCTAAAAAATATGTTTTAAATGAATTTTTGGAGTAACACATGTACCCAGGTCTTCTGCAGTTCCTACCTTATATGTGTCCATGACTCAACCTCACAAAAGTGTGTGTAGATGGTAATAGCTCAAGCTAATTTATTAAGGATATTATGAGGAATGAATGAGACAGTATTATATACCACTCTGAATTTCTTTGAAAAAATATAATAACAAAAATCATATTATTATGACTACTTTCATATTACTCAGATAAAGAGTAATTACTTTTTTATGGTTAAAATAGCATGGAAATTGAATCAGAAGGTTGTAAGCAGAAGTAGGGTCAGTTCCCTTTGTTTATTTAAGAATATTAACTAAGCTGAGTTGGATTTTCAAGAAAGCTTGTTTTCTACTAGTTTAAATTCTGATTATCTGGTCAACTGAATTTTTAGAACTATCACTAAATTAAAAAGAAACAGCAGTGGGGTGTAACTTTTCTCATCTTTACTTCATTTACCCGGTGAAGCATCTGCAAAGCCTCTGTGGGAGGTTTAAATGCTAATATTCAGAAAAGCAGTCTTGGAAGCAAACACCCAGCTGTATTTAAGGCCTGCATTTTCGTGGTGAATGTGTCTCCAGGGCTGTACCTTTCCACTGCCCAGACTTTTAAGCACCATCCATATTAAGCACAAATCAGAACGCTTTTCACAAACCACTTAATGCTGTTTAAAACCCACAAGTAAATCATCTTAACTAAACCCTTTGATATAGCTTTGCTCTCCAAACTGTCCCTATCTGGTTTTAAACACTATTATAAGATTGTTTTAAAAATTTAGAGGTGGCACACCACATTAAAGCTGTTATATCTGTATAAATCATGTGTGGAATAGGACTGTGCTCTTCCCCCATACTGAGATCAATGCTTAAAATTTTATGTGATTGTCCTCTTTGCGCATATGTGTGTGCTGGGAGGCGGAGGTGGGGTGCAGTATGCTTGCACCTGTGCACCTGGTTTTAAAGCGGTGATTTCCAACTTCTTTTCTCTTTGAGTTGGTTGAGGCCCTGGTGCTTGCAATGACACTGAAACAAGATGTGCTTTTTAACATATAGGCTGTAAATGTTAGTATTTCTGAGTTTCGCAGATCCCTACTCGCCCTGGTTTTGGAGAAAAAGCTAAGTTCCATCCTCTTGCCTCATTTCATGGGTCATTTATATGTACATGAGCCTCTTCAGCAGCAATATACAGTATCTGCCTCCTCTCTCAATGACCAACTTTGAGTATTGTCCCTGATCCGCCATACATGTTCTGCAACAGTGCGGGGTTGACTCAAAGACAACAAGAGTGGCTATTTCCTTCTGCTAGTTCAGCCCTCACAGTTATGATCTAGCTGTGGGAAGCCCTGTTTTCTCTCGGGTGTTCTCTATACCACAGCTAGTGTTTGTTGATCACTTCTGAAAAATGCACTTTTTTTGAGACAGTCTTGTTCTGTCACCCAGGCTGGAGTGCAGTGGCAAGACCATAGCGCACTGTAATCTGGAACTCCTGGGCTCAAGCAATCCTCCATCCTCAGCCTCCTGAGTAGTGGGGACTACAGGTGTGTGCCATCATGCCCAGCTAAGTTTTTATTATTTTTTTTTTATACAGATGAGGTCTTGCTATGTTTCTCAAATAGGTCTCAAGCTCCTGGCCTCAAGTGGTTCTCCCACTTCAACCTCCCAAAGTTCTGGGATTTCAGGTGTGAGCCACTGTGCCTGGCCCAAGTTGCAAGTTTTCAGGTGCACACCCCTATTTAATTGATGTCTTTTTGAAAATATATATAATAAAGCAAGCCAGGGTTCTCTAATTTTTTCTACAGTCTGTACAACCTGACTTGAGTTCAGGGCCACAATCAGGACCTCATGACTGCTCAACAGCTTTTGCCAAAGTGGCCCAGTCACAAGAATTACACGTGGATTTTGTTAGGAATACAGACACCTAGGCCCCTTCCCCTGGAAATTCTGATGCAGCAGATCTAGGTGGATCCCCATGATCTAGAAGTTCTATTAGTGCCTAAGTAACTCTCATGAGCAGGCAGAAGGAGCAAACACAGCTGGTCAGGATTAACATTTCCCTTCAGGGTGAACAGGAGAAAGTTTCACTCTCCAGATTTGTACCAATTAACTCAAATTATGCAGGTTATTCATAACTGTGTCGGATCCTTTTGTTTACCTGAAACCAGACATATTTAGGCTTTATTTAATAATGGTGGTTAATTACATTGTTACATCTGACAATGAGAAAAGAAGGAATCTCTTGGGTTAAAAAAATTAAAAATTAAAAAGCACAATGGGAGCCAGGTCTTCAGGAGACTGAACTGAGCAGATGCCCTGGATCTGGTAGATGCGGAAATCTTATCAGCTATGGTCTATGGATCTAACTCTCAGGTGCTCCCACTTGACTGAAAACTTCTTCTTTCTCCACCTCTTCATCTCATTGTGTATCTTGCTCCTCCCCCTGCCTCCAACTGGGTAAGAACTCATATTCTACTAGGCAACATACTGAGCACATGACTTTAATCCAGTCCGTCTGCCTCTCTCACATCAGCTGCATAATCATTTAGCTTAAAGTGACATTTTAAAATCTCAGTTTTCTTACTAGCCTTGATTTTTAAAGAGTCAGTCGACTTTTAAACCTTTTAAGACTTTAATGTTATCAAACGTTTAAATAATATTTCCCTAATCACTGGAGTAAAGCCCTGATGTGTGTTGTGGAGGGGTGATTTAATTTTCTGGGTTCTGAGTACCTCTTTTCTAATTGATATTCTTCACTGCCAGCTTCTCTAAAGAGAGATGGGTTTGTGGGGAGGGTGGAAAGAAAGAAGAAATGAAAGAAGAAAGAAATGAAGGAAGGAAAGCAGACCAGGAGGAAAAAAGGAAAGAGAGAGACAGGGAAAGAAGAAGGAGGGAGGGAGGGAGGAAAGGAAGGAAGGAAGGAAGGAAGGAAGGAAGGAAGGAAGGAAGGAAGGAAGGAAATTAAAGGAGAAAAAAATCATCATTATTCCATTTATGCTTGTTTGAGGAAAGGTAACACATCTTTTTATGAGAATTTGTTGCTCACCTTGTATAAGTAGAGACACTAGTATCAGTCAAGACTTCACATAGAAATTATTATTCATTAAAAATCCTTTGCACAAATATATTTAAAAATTACTTAAGCTAAGCAAATATAAAGCACTTTCACTCCAGTGAACTGAGTATTTTAGGATAGCATCCATATTGTAGCACGATTTCTCCACTTTGCTTATTAGATGATGATATTGCACAAAGAACTAATAAGCCAAAAGAGGGTGAAATATAAAACTAGATTCCAACTTAGAGGATGGATATATGCTATCAATTTTTTTTCTGCAATTACAAAGTATCTTCATTTACACTGAGTTTCCAAGAAAAACCTAGACTATGTTTTTATGTGGAAGAAACTAACTAGAAGTCTTGTTGTCATTGTTCTCTTTTTATTAAAAATTACTGTTTTTGAGGGGAAGAAATTAAAGTATGTTTTTGAGTGGAAGAAACTAACCAGAAGTCTTTTTATAATTGTTCTTTATTTATTAAAAATTCACGATGTGTTTGAAACCACCTAGTGCTTATTTATATGTAGATTCTGGTGTCTAGATGTATATGACCACAGGCAACACAGTACACATCATGGGTCATGTCCATGCCATCTGTGCAAATACATGGGTAATGTGCGTGGGTTCATTGTGTATAGTTAGTTACCAATTTGTCTCTCTGTAAAAAATTGATTTTAGGTAAAAGGCTCTATTTGAATATCCTAGAGCAAGATGTTGTTTGAAATAAAGTTTGAAAAATGTGATTGTACTTTTAGCACACATTTCCTCAATCAGTAATTTAGTCTCAAGTTTGGTCTTAGGCAAGATCTACATGTAAGGCTTATTTCTGATGGTTTCTCAAGCTGGGAGAGAAAACAATTAAAGAAAATACTTAGTCAGTTTTTATCTACACGTGTGCCTTCGGTGATTTATTTAAGCATTCCAACAGATAACATGTCTCCATTATTTTTAGCAAAGGGCTTTTTGTCAGTATTTTGTCTCCAGTTATAATAAGTGTTTTAAACATCTGTCAAAGCTGTTCTACTTCCCACTCAACAGCAAAGAAACCATGATATGTGCTGGAGGTCAGGAATACCAGCTACAAGCAGAATTAGGATTAATTATTGGTAGACAGGGCCGATATCATGGTCTGGCCACCTGTGCAGTTACATAAAGCACTAAAGTTAGAAGGATCCTTTGCTTGCTTTAGTGTTTTACTGGCACCAAATTGAAATTCCTAGTAATTTTTGAACAAGAAACCCATGTTTTTATTTTTCACTGGGCCCCACAAATTGTGTAGCCAGAACTATTGCTAGACTATTTGCTTGACGTGTAGTCCCAGGCACATTATTTAATCTTCCTAGGCTTCATTTTCCACATTTTAAGAAGGGGAGGATAATGACACCTATTTCATTGGTTTTGCGAGAATTAAAAGAGATCGCGCTTTCAATATGTTAAGTAGAGCACATGGCTCATGTTAAAGGCCCATTGTTCTGAGATTCACTGATATATACCCGTATTCTGGGATAGTCCGTCTACTCGCACCTTTTGCCCTTGGCTAGTGTGTAAACAACTACTTCACATCATCCCCTGATACCTGATCTCCCTCCCACCTGGGAGCTCCATCACTGTTGCTACCATTCTCCTAGCCATCCGGGTTTGAAATGATAAACCCCTTGACTGCCTAGGCCTTATTGGCCACCAAAACGTACAAATTATGACTACCTCATCATGCTCTAACACTCTCATCCTAGTGACTTATATCCAGTTCCCAAGTACACCTACACTAGAATGTAGTCTGCATATTCTACCACGGAGATCAATCTACCTGGCATGTCACTTTCTACCAGCATATTAGTCTGCTCTAAAACTTTTTGGCCTGGGGACCAATAATTCCCTGTGACTCTCCCGACCACATGGAGAAAGAAAGGAAAACATGAATTTACATCACATGTGTATTTAAAGGCAAATCAGAGACTACACAGTAGATGGAAAAAGCTTTTTTAGCTACTAATGTAATCCCAGTAGCTGGGGAATAACAGAATTTTCAAGCTGCCTGTTTGGCAGAGAAACCCAGTGTTCCACAAGACTTTGCTCTTCTCTTCATTTGTTTCTTAAAACCACGCTGTGTTATTTAAGGAAATGATGATCAACAAAATTCTAACTGAAAAGTAACTTGATGAAATATTTTCCATTAACCGTTGAGATATTATAGAAATGTACTTTTTCCTAAGTGATTCTGGGGCAGAAAAATACCTTTATAATCCTAATATATCACAATTCCTTTAGTGCCTAATATTGAGGGAGCAGCTTTTATTCAAGATGGAAGGAATATTAGATATCATTCAATCTAGCTTCCTCATTTTACAGATAATAAAACTGAGGATGAGAGTGGTAAAGTGATTTGCTCAAATTCATGAACCTGCCTCTCCTAATATTCAGCCAAGTGTCTTTTCCAGAATGTCACAGTTCCCTGTATAATAAGAATCAGCTTTATTTTCCACAAGAATAAAAGAGGTTAGAGTTAGAAAAAGAATAAGTTTTCTGGATACAGAGTGTCATTGTGTCTATGTGAAGGAATGTTAGCAAAAGTGAAAAAAACAAAAACCTTGTACAGAATAAAAGAAGTTATTCCTGGCAATTGACTGAAATGGAAAGAAATCATAAAAGACTTGAATGACAGGCAAATGAATAATGTGATGAGATATATCAAATTTTGACTCTACTGAGATCAAAAGGAAGAATAGAGTATAGGGAATGAAAGATGATGTCTGGATTTAACATTCATTTGGGAATCATTTCAAAATCTTGAGATAAAAGGTTCTTTAGAAATAATAAATGTTGTGTTTCTTTAATTTTTAGGGACTGAGAGATTCATGCATTGTCACAAGATGTTATTAAAAACAGCTATTCATTTTTCATGGAATGAGACAGAATGCATATTGTATATTGGAGGCAAAACTATATCCTCTGTTATTCCCATATATTTCCTTTCAATAGCCGATCAGATGAAATTGTGAGTGGATATGAAAGGACAAAATTAAACATGGTAAAAGAAATTAAATCGGGGAGTTTTTTTTTAAGAAAAAATCCTTCATTTGTTTCGTTGTCAGAATTACCAAGATGAGCTAGGTAATAGGTTAGCTTTACGAGCTAAAAGTCATCATCTATACATGCAAATCACGTTGCATGCAAACGTTCTTTCTGGTCCATTTTCATTAGTGCTTAAGTATGGAGAGACTACTACAGGACTTTAAAGCTTCTGTCCAATTACCCAGGGACATCTCAACATGAATTATAGCTATGTATAAGCAAAAAAAAGTATTTGACTTTAAAGCAAATACATCAGACTGTAAAGCAAATTCAATATTATTCATCTTTTGTTGTATTCAAAGATAAGAAAGTAGTGATTACTTACATTATAAAGGTTTAAATATCTATATTTACCCCTGACTTTAGTACATAACAAAATATGAATAATATTAAGATTCCCAGGATATGATAATTTCAATAATAAGAAAGCCCTCTTTTGACTAGGATTTTCTTATTTCCAACAGGTTTTTGTGTTGTGTTTAATCTGTCTGTCTGTGTTTTAGATTTACTCTATTAGGAAATATTAGTTCCAACCATTGTCCTTACAGCTGTCCTTGCAGGAACACTACTCATTTTGGAACAGATTAGTGTATCTTGGTACCCCCTTTACCTTGAATGTATAAATTATCTTTTAGATCTATTTGTTGCTATGTAACAAACCACCCTAAAGCTGAGTGGTTTCTAATGTTATTGCCCAGTAGCATTTTGGGCCAGCAAAATGGTTATTCTCCTGGGCTTATCATTTGTCTGTGGTCAGCCGCAGGTTGAGTCAGCAGTTTGGCTGACCTTGGCTGGTACCTTTCATATCCCTCATCACATCTGTCACATCTGTACAGCACAACAGTTGTCCACAAATTCCATCATTTTCTAGCAGATTAGCCGGACTTGTTCACCCGGTGGTGAGCAGAGTGTCAGGAAAATGAGTGGAAATCTTCAGGGTTTCTTAAAGCCTAGGGTCAGCATCATTTCTGCTGTATTCTACTGGTCAAAGTATGTCACAGAGCAGGTCCAGATTAAAGGGCGGGAAAGACAAGTGGGAAAAACTGCAAAGTAACTTTGGAAAAGAGCCTAGGTATACAGAGGGGGATATTTGCAGCCAATTTTGTAAACAATTTACAAATTACTGAAGAATTTCTACAGAAAATTCATTTTAATTACCTTGGTTATACTTAAACATAAAAACAGTGAGGCCCAGAGATGTCGAGCAACTGGCCCAAGTTCACACAGAAAGTTAAAAGCAGAACTGGAATAACCAACTGTCCTAGTTTGCCCAGGATTATGTCAGTTTTAGCACTGAACATCCCACATTTCAGGCAAACTGGGGTGGTTGGACACCCTAGGGAAAGGGCTAGGATTTCCTGATTCTTAGTTTGATATTATTTTCTGAACACTAAAATTGATCTATGTGACTAGCTATTGGTGTTTAAGATCAATCTACCCTCATTCCTGCATCCTCTATTAGCATGCATGCTGACATTTAATTAGTTTGTCCATTGGTTAGACTCTACTCTGTTCCAAAATGGTTTAAGGCATTTTATAAAGTACTGTACATCACAAGGGGATAACTACACAAGGCTACCTTGCCATTCTTCAAACATTCCACGTATTTTAATGTTTATGAATGCTAATTCTTTCTGCTTTGTGATTAGTCTTTCTCTTTCTAGAATGGTTTTTGCTTTTTTTTTTCTATTAATATCATTCAATTTATAGTTTCCAATTACCTTCTCTGTGATGTAGGCCCCAGTTGAAGAATTCATCATTATCTCCTCTGAGCTCCTGGGAGACTTGGCCCATATTTTGATCGCCATACTTAGTACATTGTTTCTACTAAGTTACGTGTTATCTCATTACAGTGTGTTTTCACCTTACATCTCCTTTATTTAGTATAATCTTCCATATCCAGTAGGCACTCTGTCATTTCTTTAAGTCATTGTTTCTGTTGCATAAATGAGTGAACAGACTGTTTAGTGACAGCCTAGTGAAATGTGGAAATTTTCACTTTCTTCACTAAAAACCCTTGACTGCTTTTCTTCTTAGTTCCAATTATCCATTTGCTGCATTTTTATCTTTTCCGTTGGTATAATTCCTGCCCTAAGCAACACAGCTCTCATATAATCTGCTGGGTTTTAATTGGCTGCAGTTTCCAAAGCTAAATGATTAGTTTCAAAAAGATTGTTTCTGACCCAATGCACTGTAAATTCTGCACGGGGATCTGAAGTGCTTTTGTTTGAGGCCCTGTGTTTTTGTGTTTGTGTATGTCATTTTTATACCCATTCTGGATTAGTTTCCAGAATATCCAGAAAAATACCAAACACATAATAGGTGCTCAGTGCACTTCATGATTCATTGTTTTATCATTTGCTCATATGTCTCTATACACCCATTTATACTTCAGGGCCCTTCATAGGCCTCTTCACTTTTGGAAAACTTTCCTGAGCAAGCCCCTCCCTGTCCAGCTGGAGTTCTACAAACATTTACCATAGAACCCATTCTTTTATATTTTCATAAAGTATTCAATTCTTTGTCTCTCCATCCACTGTCTGTAAACTCTTTGAAGCTGGCATCTGTAGACTATTTGCTTTTGCTGTACCTGGCTCACAGGAGGTACCAAAACAACCTTTGTTTATGTGATTGATTAGTCAAATTGATGAATCAATCAAAAACTACAGTTTCAGAGGAAAATGTTATAAAAAGAAAAAGTATTTCAGACGTCTTCTTGGCTCGTATTACCTGTGTCATAGCTTTTCCATATTCAGAACAGTTTGCATCTTAGAATTTGGTTAGCAGATATACTTATAAGACTTTGCAGGTAAGAAGAGGAAATGCCCAGCAATCAGCTTGCTAAATTTCTCAATTTGCCCCACCTAAACTTGCAACTTAAATTTAGACATTTTTCTGAAATAGGTAAGTCTAAACTATGAGTAGGATGGATTTCCCCAATTTTCTTGCATCAACTGATACAATATCTACAAATTATCGAAAAGATGTCAAAAACACATGGGGCTTTAGCCAGTCCTTATAATGAGAGATGGGTCTTGGTTTAGCAGAAGAAAAGAATACATTTCAGATAAGGAAAATAAAAGCATCTAATGCATAAAATAGAAACAATACGGTATGTTCCTGTAATAGTGAGGCCTTTCATACCTTTAGAATACAGGATAAAAATGGAGATTTGCATCAACTTGATGATTGGAACTAAGCTGGGAGATGTAAACTTGGCATGTTGGTATATATGAGTAGAAGAGGAGCTTTCAAAAGTAGCATTCATGCAAGTTCAGTGGAAAAGACCAGTGACAGGAAAACACTTGTGTAAACAGACATGATATTCTGACAGTGAGAATGGGGAGGAAGGTAAATGCTCAAGAAGGATAAGATTAAAGTGAATTATATTTCTGAAGGGAGGAACAATCCACTTTTCTAGCCTTTTCTCTTGCCACTCAGTCATGTATCTTTTACACTCCAATGATAGAGAATTTCTCATAAGCATCGAGCTTATTGCATCCCTTTAGATTCCATCATCTTTCCTCATGCAGCGGCTTCTGCTTTATCTTTACTCTAAACTCCTAAGAAATTCCAATGTATTCTTTTTTTAATTTTTTAATTTCAATAGTTTTGGTGGTACAGGTGGTTTTTGGTTATATGGATAATTTCTTTAGTGGTGATTTCCGAGATTTTGGTGCACCTGTCACCAGGGCAGAGTATACTATACCCAATATGTAGTCTTTTATTGCTCACCCCACTCCCAGACTTTCCCTCTGAGTCTCCGAAGTCCATTCTACAATTCTTATGCCTTTGCATCCTCGTAGCTTAGCTTCCATGTATATGTGAGAACATGCAATACTTGGCTTTTTATTCTTGAATTACTTCACTTAGAATAATGGCCTCCAGCTCCATCCATGTTGCTGCGAAATATTATTTCCTTTCTTTTTATGGCTGAGTAATATCAGTGGTGTAAACCTACCATATTTTCTTTGTCCACTGATTGGTTGATGAGCACTTACATTGGTTCCATAGCTTTGCAACTGCAAATTGTGCTGCTGAAAACATGAATGTGCATGTCTTTTACATATAATGACTTATTTTCCTTTGGGTAGATACCCAGTAGTAGGATTGCTGAATTGAACGGTAGTTCTACTTTTAGTTCTTTAAGGAATCTTCATACTGTTTTCTATAGTGGTTGTACTAGTTTACATTGCCACCCTCAGTGTAAGTGTTCCCTTTTGCCACACCCACACTAACGTCTATTTTTTTTTTTAATTGTGGCTTTTCTGGCAGGAGTAGGATGGTATCTCATTGTGGTTTTAATTTACATTTCCCTGATAATTGTGATGTTGAACATTTTTAAAAATATTTGTTGGCTGTTTGTGTATCTTCTTTTGAGAATTGTCTATTCATGTTCTTCACCCACTTTTTGATGGGATTATTTGTTTTTTCTTGCTGATTTGTTTGAGCTCCACATTTTAGAGAAGTATAAAATATTTAAAAGACAGAAAGAATGTAGAGCCTTTGGAATAAGAGACGTGGGAGAATGTCCTGAAAATACAGTTTTCCAGAGGTCAAAAAAAAGAAGTTTTAAGAATAAAAAAGGTAAACTGGTGCCAAATGTAAAAAGTGGTCAAAAACTGATAAAAGAATAATTTAGAATTTGTTAAGAATCTGATTATTGATATGAAACGTTTAAAAGAACAGTTTTAGCAAAAGACATTACTAAAATGTGTATTTTATTATATATTTTATTTATCCTAGGCTATAAAAACCTCAGGACTGTAAGATTTTTAATTAGTGTTAATAATGCTTGATCATAGTGTATGACTTTTCTCCCTTCTGTATTACCAGCAATCTGAACATTAGCACTAGGCTTAATGTGATTAAGAGAAATGGATTCTTCCTCTAACTGGCTGATTTTGGAGAAGACATAGAACAAGGGAATCTTTAAGGGTCATCTTACTCTCACCCAATATGAGAATTCCTCCTACAACCTCCTTAACTATTAACTTATTTCACCTTTCTAGATGTCCGTGACCTTGTCTCTAAAATAACGCACTTGGACTTCTAGCTCTAACTTCTGATTAAATGAATTAGAACATAAAGTCACTGAGTCAGTTGCCTTCAACTCATTCTGCATGCAGGCTGTACAATATTTTCATCCACATTTTAAAAGTGAAATATTTTAAATGTTAGTAAATGTTAAAAATTAGTAAGCAAAGAGCAATTAGCACGGGCACATTCTGAATGCCTTTTAGCCCTTGCTTAAACTTAAGAGAACAGTCTGTTAAAAACAAGATAATATTTTTATTGACATTTCAGTTGTTGCAAATGAGTCTTTGCCAGCTTTCCTCCTGATTCTAGTATTTTGCCTAATTCTGATTTCACGCGTGGGTACTTTCTGAACAATCCATGTCTTGGAGCGCATCATGTACTAATGTTGCTCTGACAACCTTGTAATGGGAATTTGAACAGTTATTACATTTTTCTTGTTAAAACCAGGGGGAAAGAGCATTCCAAGTGTTTATAGCTCCCTAACCTTACTGTGATGAGGTGAAGTTTGATGTAGCTATTTCCTCTTACTTTGAAATCTCATTTTTAATAACACTGTTCCACGCTTGGCGCTGCATGTGTCAGCTGTGAACCCATTCACCTTTGCAAGGAGTAGCCTTAATCCTGCAAATCCTACTTTGCTCCAGTCAGTACAGGGTTGAAGAGAAGAATCTATTCTAATTACTTAAAGTTTACTTACCAGTGCCTGCAATGCTACAAGGGAACTGGAAGCTATAATAGACCACCCTCTTCAGTTTGGGGGAAATTCTACAAGAAAGGCTTCTGTAACATGAGCAGCTCTTGACTTATCAGCAACTTCCATAGGCTAATGATTATATTTGCCAACATACCCACAACAGTTTACAGAGATTTTTGACTTACAGCAGATAAATGTAAAGATTGAAATTACGAAATAAGTAGAACTTGTGAAACCCTTTACAAAGTCACAGAATATACTTTATCTTTTTTGTCAAGTAGAATGGAAATTTGTTAAATTATCTGCTTCTCACATATTATTTTAAAACAAAACAGATGAAAGCTCTGAAATACAAGGTAGAAAACGTCACTTTTTTTTTTTTTTTTTTGAGGCAGAGTCTTTCTCTGTCACCCAAGCTGGAATGCAGTAGTGAGATCTCCGCTCACTGCAACTTCCGCCTCCCAGGTTCAGGCAATTCTCCTGCCTCAGCCTCCTGAGAAGCTGGGATTACAGGTACCCACCACCACTCCCAGCTCATTTTTATATTTTTAGTAGAGACAGGGTTTTGCCGTGTTGGCCAGACTGGTCTCAAACTCCTGACCTCAGGTGATCCACCTGCCTTGGCCTCCCAAAGGTGTGAGCCACCACACTTGGCTGATAAGGTCACTTTTTAAAAAGAATAGTTTTTAGGCATCATAGTGTCATTAGGTACTATAAGCAGCAAGTTCTAGAAAAAAAAATCACATATAATAACTATCTTTTGTTGACTACTTAGTAGAAACCAAGTGTACTTCTAGACACTCTGCATATATCATCAAATTTAATCCTGACCTAATTGAAAAACATATAATAAAATATTAACAAAAGTAATCCTTAGGTGAAGGTAACAGTTAACTTTACATGGGTTATATCGATTAATAGATAAAAAGACAGGTAAACATACTGTTTTCCTTTGAGGAAAATAGCAAGTGTTTTCCTTTGAGGAAAATGGGCAGGACATAGTATATATCTGGGTAATTTGACCCCTCCATTCTTAGTGCATCTTACCTCTCTACTAGTTTTATACCTGAATATGCTTACTGTACTATTCCCTTTTTAACTAAGAAATCTCTAGAATCCTTCTACAGGCATATCATATGTTCCTCTCCCCTTTTTGTACTATGCAAGTATTTTTCACAAATTTTGCACCTAGAATCTTCATGTTATATTCCACATCAACTAGCATGAGAGAGGCTGCTTTTCATTAGGCAATAAGAAGCAGAGAAAGATCTATACTGCAATAACTCTATGATAAAGGCAGGACGGTATATTTTACACTGATTTCACCATATATCCTCCGCATCGCAATTGGAAATGTAGATTTTATAATGCTTATTTTGCAATTCAGGAAACTAATGTTCGAGGCTTAACTTATTCAAAGCGATTACTTGAAGCAAAAGCTTCATGAACTTGCCCAGGGTTATTCTGCTGCTGAGGGGGAGAGATAGCATTGGAACACAGGGTTTATTTGCCTTCAAAGTTCTGTTATTCCTATTACATCTCTGTCATGAGGAAGACTCCATGCAGCAGAATACCTAAATTTTAGCAGGTGTTTTTAAGAGATGCATGAGCAGAGAGAGAGAATTTGCATCTGTGTGGATAGAGGGATCTTGCTTCATTTGCAAGCAAGAACTTCTGTGAGACTTCCGGTACATCAAAGAATGCCTTTGCATGGCTGTCTTCTGGAACAACCTGTATAACCACATGGGAATAACTAGGTCCAAAGTGTCACACTGGCTTATGCATCTCCTCAAGTAGTCCTACAAAGTCTAAAAAGTTAACAGATACAAACCAATATCGGAAGGAAGGACCCATACGGTAAGATGACCACAAACATAGCACTTTTCCCACTGAGTCCCCTGTTGTTCTAAGTCTGCCTTTGATGAGTATCCAGGAGCTTGTGGTCTCCTAGTCCTTTTCCTCCTCTCCTTTGTACTCTCCAAGGTCTCATCGTTTCAGACCTCTCAACCCCTCCATTCTCCATTTAGAGTTCTGGTTCCAATTCAAGGCAAAATCCTCCCAGCCAGGTCTTCAGGTTTCCAGGCAGTGCCCAAGGCTCCATGCAGCAGCAAGTCCTTTGCACTTAAAAGCAAGTCTTTCACACATGCAAGTTCTTCAAAGGGAAACAACTCTTAGTCAAACAAGCCTTTCTCTCATAACATTGGCCCCATTTTACAGTGGAACTCTGATGCTTAATTATACTAACAAAGTATACTTTTTAATGGAACACTAGCTACCTTTAAAAGTTAGCCCTCAGATCATAAGGCTTACCATGAATGAACATGATTTCAGCTCCTGTAAAGTTCAAACCAGTGCTGCTGATCAGAAGTCGGTTTTCCCACAAAGGGCGATTCAGGGACTGCAGATGGTGCTGCTGTTATCTCTACATCAAGCCACTAAAAGGGAAGTGACATGGGAGTTTAAATAGACCACACCTGGAATGGCAGCTGTCACCTTCACTCACAGTTGACTAGTCACAGCTAACTGCCAGGTAATCAGAGAATAAGGGCCACTAAATGGCACAGCAAGTTATAAAATGCATTCTTAACCGGCATATGATATCTAGCTGGATATCCAGGAATAAAAGAAGAGAGGTCAGCTAAGCAGATAGCTAGACTGCGTGATGCAAAATTTTGCTAATTTCTAATGCCTTACCAAAGATTCCTTTCCCTTAGGTTTGGGACATTTTGTAATGGAAGAAAAGGGAGCATTCTGAGGGAATGAGGGAGGAGGGAATAAAGCATGCATGTTGAAGAAAACTCTACCGTTGTAATTTAAGAAACAACAACATACATGCCAGAATCCCTTTGTAAAGTGAACTTACAGTTTAAATTGTACATTGTATGATTGTAAAACCATTATATAAATGAAAAAAATAGGGACCATTACTGCCTTAAAAACAAACAAAAAAATGAAATACATTTGTTTGGAAGATGAGAAGACTATCCAGATTTGACTAGAGATATTTGCCTATAATATCACTTTAAATTGTTTCTGGGGACAAGAAGAAATAATAATAATAATAGCCTCCCTCTCTGTAATAGAAAAATGTTATTAGGTGACATGATATTTATATAAAATGTTGTTTCCAATGAGACAAAAGTAAAATATCCTACTGTTTTTAGAAGCACCTGGTATTCACTGTATGACATCTTACTTTCAAGGGAGTTCTTGAACCACCTCTATAAGGCAGTCAACTTTTAAAGCAACTTAGTATTTTGGCAGTTGGAAGACATATTAACTACAGTCATACCTATTTATGCCTAAATCTAAAAGTTCAAAAAATAATTAACTCAGATTTAGTAGATTTGGAATATGGATTGATAGTTTCTAGTTTTGAACCTAGCTTAGACATTAACAAAGTGGACTAATAATAAACTTAGACTAATAAAAGTATCCCCAAGACCACTTTTTCCTCACTCCTGCCTTGCTTACACACTTGTCAGTAAATTAGAGTTTTATTTCCTTCATGCCAGGTATCCTGCAGATTTTGAGGGAAATAGAAGCCCCTAGTGTAAAATACAAGAGTTTCTGACAACCGGTTGATAAATTCTTATTTATTAAAAATAATTTCTAACTTAGCATGAGGTCAATAGACTTAATGAAAAAATTTCATGGTATAAACAATATTAAAATATTCTAATTATGACAATTCTGGCAAATCCCAGAATGCATTAGATTACAGAATCACAGGCTTATTTCCAGATGCTGCAACTATAGTATTCTTTTTTTTTTTTTTTTTTGAAGTCTAAACATCTCAGTGGTTCCAAAATACAGCAGAATCAGATAAATGTTTGGGAACCATACTGAAAACCAATTCTGAGAATTTAATTAAAGGCTGGCTAAAAGCAAACAAAAAAACTATTATATAGTGTAGTTGAGTGTGACATTCTCATTGGATAGTTGATAATTGCACTGCTTTTCCTCCATATCACCACAAATTCATCAATCAATAAATTGTTATGAAAAATTTATGTATCAAACGATAGAGTTTATACAAGTAAAAGAAAATTCTTATTTTCAAAGACCTACTACTCCAGTGATACAAATGTATACACATACATTTTAACATATAAGCCTATATAGATATATGTATGCATGTGTGTGTGCTTAATATCAAACTCTTCACAAAATGTAATATAGTTTATAGAAAGCAAAGTTTATTTTAGATGAAACCTAGAGAGCTGAGTCAAATTTACCTAAACAGAGAATAGTGGGGATAATTTTTTTTTTTTTTTTGTAAAGAAAAGGCCTAAGTAAAGCTAGTAAAGGCATTCGAAGTGCATTGGTTTGATGAAAGTAGAAGACTTGTGTATAAATAAAGGAGTGAGAAAATTAGAGAAGAGTTTGAGGTCATACTTGTGCAAATCCCAGAAGGCCAAGCTGAGAACGGCACCTGATCTTATAGAGAGTAGGGAGATAAAATATTAGAGGAGTTCCAGCATTGTGTGACAAATGTTATTGAGCTTGGATAGAATTCAGTGAGATTAGTGCTATATAGCAAAAGAATGCATAAAATACAACATAAGTACTGGCTTTACAAAAACATCATTGGACCAACATGTATGGGCTACATGGAAGTGGAAAGAGATTGAGGTAGGAAGCAGATGCAATCATTGAGATGTGTGAGATGTATGGTAGGAAAGGTGGATGGCGTGGGGAAGGAAAAGAAAGGGTCAAATGGGAGAGACACATATTTTCAGCACAAAGCTTCAATAAATACTTGCTAAACGAACTAATAAATCTATATAATATTTCAGCTCATTACATATCCTATTTTTCTTAGTTCTGTCAAGATCCTCTGAGGGAAACAAGCAGGCTGGGTACAGAAGTTAAACTTTGGAACACTTTCTCTTTGAGTCCCCATTATATATGTTCTCATACATGCCCTCATTGATGCTGCCAGTCCATATTTTTATAATATCATGTATTATTCTTTTGTAGCATTTATTATGATTTTATTAACTTTTATATTATTATATATGTAAACTGACAGAGATCGCAACTACTCTACACACTCCATAAGAGTGCAATGTATATTTTCTCACAACTGTATCTAGTATATATCAAAGTTCAATAATGTTTAATTGATGTCACATTGCTATGTGGAAGATCAAAGTAATTTGCAGCATATTAGCTCTGTGTTTCTTGCATAAAATTATCGTCTTGAGAGCTGGCTCTAGAAAAAATGCAAAATCAGTGGGGAGAAAAACTTCTTCCCACTTTATAATGATACTTCAACACCCTTGACCAAATTCTTATCTCCTTCATCTGAACTCTGTCATGCCACCGTGTTTGCCTGTCATCACTAAAGGAAAGCAAACCATAAAATTAAATCACAAATAACGCTAGAATGATTTGCCTTTTAAAGATTCCCCAAATAGTCCAGGTACAGTGCTCACTCCTGTCATCCCAGCACTTTGGGAGGTCGAGGCGGATGGATCACGAAGTCAGGCATTCGAGACCAGCCTGGCCAACATGGCGAAACCCTGTCTCTACTAAGAATACAAAAATTAGCCAGGCGTGTTGACAGGCGCTTGTAATCCCAGCTACTCGGGAGGCTGAGGCAGGCGAATCGCTTGAACCCGGGAGGCGGAGGTTGCAGTAAGCCAAGATTGCGCCGCTGTCCTCTAGCCTGGGCTACAGAGCAAGACTTCATCTAAAACAAGACAAAACAAAACAAAATCCCCCAAACAAGGAATCAATCACTGGATGATAGTATTTCAGGCATTCCTGAGGTACACACTCCTGGCAACTATCTCTTCCACTTATTTTTTTTATTTCTTCTAACAAAAATACTAACTAAACTTGACTCAATAATTCTTTGTTAATGAGAGAGAAAAAAATTGTTCTTATTTCAACATATACTTCAGATAGAATTTAGTACTTGAATAAGCATTCAGAATAAAATGCGAAAGTATTATTAAGGGCACAAAAGTATTATGCACTTAACGATTATGCCGATAATTGTTAAGGGCGCAACCTAACAATGTAGGATGTGACAAAAATATCAATATCGGCTTTATTCACCTTCATGATGGAATGTAAGGCATTCATTTCTTATTTCTCCTTGGCTTTGGAGTTAGCTCACTCATTTCTACATTCTAGCTGTCTAACTAGAAAGGCAAAACATAGCCATGTGTGGTGGCTCATGCCTGTAATCCCAGCATTTTGAGAGGCCGAGATGAGTGGATTGCTTGAGTTCAGGACTTTAAGACCAGCCTGGCAACATGGTGAAACCCTGTCTCTACCAGAAATACAAAAAATTAGCCTGGCATGGTGTCGTGTTGCTGTAGTCCCATAGTCCCAGCTACTCATGAGGCTGAGGTGGGAGGATGGCTTGAGCCCAGTGGGTGGAGGTTGCAGTGAGCAGAGATGGCGCCACTGTACTCCATCCTGGGTGACAGAGTGAGACCCTATCTAAAAAAAAAAAAAAAGAAAAGAAAAAGAAAAGATAAAACATAAATAAGCAAAATAGAATTTTCTCTATAAGTTCTAGAAATCTAATAATGCCAAATTTTTAGCATTTAAGTAAATTGTACTAGAGTGACAGTTTATAAAGGAACACTATTTAAACAAGAGCACCTGTAGACGTGTCATATTTTAAGGGCAATTATAAGAAATTCTATCCAAGTTGATATTTTCCAATAATATAGGATTGCTATTTTTTTTTCTGATACATGGTTAAGCAATTTTCTGAATTTTTTAAAAACAAGATACATTTCAGTTCATGAATGACCTTAGATATGAGTTTTCTCACTAGGTGTTATAAAATGCGCTAGAAGAGAAAAAAACACAGAACAATCTATTTATAAACCATATAATGAGAATAAGGTACCCTTTATCTAATTTGCAATCCATAATAGAAACTATAATTGTCTATAGTTAGAGGAAAATAACTTATATTTGCTTATCAATTGTACCTTGAAGGGCTCTGTATTTAATTAAATGTCCAATGACAAATCTGATTCCACCAATTGCATCTTTAGAATCAGAGATTGATAGAAGCCACAGAGTCAGGGGAACCATTTGCCACAACAGTGAAATGTGGGATTGATGTCACTTCAGCCTGGGATGGTTTATTTGAAAATGGTAAGCCTCTGGTAGCATCAATAATGCCATGTTATTATCTTTTGGCATTTATGCATATACTCCTGATAGTGCAGTCCATTGAGTATTGAATTAAAGAGATTTCAAGTCCTGTCCTTCACTAGAATATAGCTTTTCTTGAAGTGTTAATGCAAAAAAAAAAAATGTAAAGACAAAGAAAACTTGTAATCCCAAATTTTTCTGTACCAGAACATGTTTATATAGGTTTACCAAGGGAAAGAGAGGGAGAAATACATTGGATTTAAGGTAGAACCTGTTCATATCAAGACTGTTTATAAATGACACCCAAAATCAGATACTGGGGAGTGGAGAGGGAAAGGTTAGACTAACCTTTTTCCACTTAACTGACTTTTGTGGGACTGTATAGATATTGTTTTAAAACCAGTGCCGTTTTTTGTTTCAGTTAAATTCTCCAGTTACCAATTCACTTTAGACAGTGAAAAAATGGAATGACAGAGAGTCTGAATGAAACAGACTGATGAGGCAACATCTCAAAAAGGCAGGATACAAATGATGAAAGGCATATGTCAGCCAACCAAGTTATCTTTGTGATCCAGAGGCATGGCAGAGAGACACAAATCTGTCCCTGAAGTTCTCAGAATGAAAAGTTTGGTTCATAGTTCAAGCGAGGTTAATATTCCCAATCTCATTCTATTCTTTATCTCTCTACCAAAAGAGACAATAATGTTGTTCATTTTACCTACTGCAATTTTATCTTCTTTCTTGCAGTGTCTTTTGCTTATGAATTAATTTTTTATTCTTACTGTGATAAGAACACTTAATATGCAATCTATCCTCTTAAGAAAATTTAAGTGTACAATCCATTATTGTTGACTATAGGTGCAGTATTGTAGAGAAGATCTCTAGATCTCATTCATCTTAACCGAAATTTTATGCCTGTTGATTAATATCTCCCCATTTGCTCCTACTCCTGTCCTTGGTAAGCATCATTCCAGTCTTTGATTGTATGAATTTGACTATTTTGGATATTTCATGTAAGTGGAATCATTAAGTATTTGTCTTCCTGTGTTTGGTGAATTTAGTAGTTTCTTAACATATCTCTTTTTCTTATTTGTTTACACTACGTTGTATAGGAAAATATTTTTTAAATGCTGCAATTTTTCCAGTACTAGTCATGAATCTTCATAAATATTCTGACTCTATCCTTTCCAGCACATGGAGGGATTACACCTCCGTGTTGACTTGGAAACTAGGTGTGGCCATATGACGTGCTTTAGCCAATGAAATGTGAGTGGAAGATGCCTGTGTAATTTCTGGGTAGGAGCTTTAACAGCCAGAGACTGCTTTACCATGTTCTTGTCCTCTGCCACCAACATGGACTGAGGCCATTCCAACATCCAAAGAGATAAGGATGAAGACAGTAAAGAACAGAACTCCAGCTGACCTTCAATGAACATGTTGAGGAATAAGGGGCAAAAAGTTCTCTGTTATTTTTAGATACTGAGATTCAGAGTTTGTTTTTTTACTGAAGCATAGTGCATATCACTGATGATATAAACACTGATAATAGTAGAGAAATGGATAAAATAGAAAAATTCTATTTTAAAACATGAATTAATGATATTAACTATCAGACACCGAAAATGTAACATATATCCCTGTGTTGTCTTAGTTCCTTATAAATTAGTCTGGTGTTAGAACTGTAATTTTCTGACACCTACTTAGAGATACGGTAGGGTGCTTGTTACAGTTCACTTCTTTGCATGGCATTATGAAACATAGGCAGCCATGTTTCACTCCTCATAACTAGGGTAATAAAAATATGAGAAGATAGAGAATAGGCAGCGCACATCTTTCTTTACTTGAAATTGTTCAGCTCATTTTGAGATTGATAAAATGGCACAATTAAGTTTAAAAATAAAGAAGTGAAAGTTTCAGACTAAAGGTCATGACATAATTTAAAGCTGAGGGCAAAATGATATAATTGAAGAGGGAAGAGTGCCTTTTAACAACAGTAATTGACTAACTCCCAGTTAATAATGTTATGACTGAAAATTAAGAGCATAGCTATGCTCAGGTGATATATCTATATTAAGAAGAAAGCAAAATCAAAGTAGTATTGTCTATTTATATATCCTACTCATCAAATATCTTTGTAACAGAATTCTTGATTGCTTCTATGCTAGTCATTAGAGTTAAACATAGAATATTGTATTCTTTATTTAACCTGTTTGAGTCTTTCATTATGGAAGTCAAATCTTAGTCTCTCTTTAATGATATCGGATAGATATTGCTGTGATCAGACAACTGTTCTGTATCTGTGCTGTCCAACACCATAGCCACTGTTGAACATTTGGTATGTAGCTAGTGCCACAGAGGAACTAAATTTTCAGTTTTACTGAAATTACTTTACATATAAATGTAAAGTATTAATTAATTTACATTTTAAGAGCAAAATGTAGCTAGTAGCTACTATATTAATCATACAGCTGGTATCGCCATGTAACCTGAAACTAAAGTTGAATCTTCAAGGTCACAAATAAACATTTGAAAGGTTTAATGCCCAACCAGGGATGCCATGCCAAAAAAAAAAAAAAAAAAAAAAAAAAAAAAAAAAAACAAGAAAGAAAAAAGAAAAAGAAAGAAAAAGAAAAAAACAAGCAAACAAACAAACAAAAAACTTTGAAAAGTACCAACACCAAAATCTTAGCATTCAGAGCCTCAGTATTGTTCAAAAGTTATTAAAGTGGATGAAGGGAGCACAATGAAAGGTTTTGCCACCAGAGAATTACATAGCATATGACAATACTGAATGCATAATTTTCCCCACTTCTTTCTAACTTCTTAATCTAAATGGGTCACATTTCTGTCAGCAAACAAATTCCTATAGTCAATACAATTTCTTGGAAATCTGACATTATTATAAACACTTCAAATTACTTTACCTTCTTGGTAAACTATCAGTTTCTCAGATTTTTGTTTCCACACAAGCTCAAAAGTCTCCATGTATGTAATTTCACTTTTTTTAAACCTTTTAGCGTATGTCTCATGTGGTCTTGTTGCCAAGAGAGTGTAACATAAGTACATTTCTAAAACTTACCATTTACATAAAACTTGAATTTTCAAGTAGAGCCATTTGAGACCTCAGATCTATTCTTCCATCCCTCTTGAATGTATATGGTCTTGATTTGTTTGGAACTGCCATCCATGTAAGTATCTTATTCTACCACTAAGTGGTTGGAGCATAGGTAAAAGTATTCGAACTTTGGGCGTGCATCCAAGATTTGATTTTTCAGCAGTTTAAAACAAAACTACCTGATGTGTTCCACTGTATGAGATCAAAAATAGACAGTGTTATCTTTGTGAGACAACATCAAAATTTGATTTAAAATATTCAGATGAAACATTTTTTTCTTAAGGTTGTTTCTGTGGGTAAACTCAAGGGAAGATTAATTCTATACCTAGAAGCTGTCATTGATCTGGCACTGATATACATATATAGTCTGTTTTTTAATCAGTATTTGGATCATATTCCAAAGTGTCAGTTTTATGTGATAGTTAAAACAGTTTGTGGCAGGAAGAACTTTAAAAGATTTTCATGAATCTCAATTAAATAACTTGAAGTTTTAAAAATTCAATCACATTAAAATATTTTTTGTTTTTTAATAAAGTTCTGATTTGATAGATTATCACATTAATTACAAACCTTCAGGGCTCGCCTTTGTCCATTGTTTAAAATGCTTAGTGTAGTGTGTTAAAAGTTCTTCAACTCTGGGACCAAATTTTTAGCCCCTTCTTACAGAAGTTTTTTTTCCTTCTGCTCACAACTTAACTTGTCAGTCCTTGAAAAATGCTCTCTTTTGAATAGTTAGAAGGCTATTCTTCCTTTCCCCATTCAACAAATCTCGCTCATCCTTTAAGACTCAATTTACATGTCATCTCATTCATTCATTCAACAAATAGATAATGAGCACTTGCTGTGTACCAGTCACTATGCTTAGTGCTTTATAAATTAATTCATTTAATACTCTCAAATGTTTTTGTGAAGTCGATATTAATGTTATCATTTCACAAAGACAGGTAAGAACTGCCTACCTTTTGTCCCACTCCACTCCACCCACCATTCTGACTGTGGAAGCTCCATGGGTGTCCCCATTATTGGATTGCGCTGACACCATTAGTCTTCACCACCAGTCAGTTTCTTTAGGACTGCCTCCTCTCCCATGGCCAAACCTCAGAGAAGGACTACATGAATTTTCTAGACTGCTATAGGTATACAGTAAAAAAAAAAAAAAAAAAAAAAAAGAAAGAAAGAAAGAGACTCTGATTAATGTGGCATAAACCTGGTTGCATCTTGAGAATTTCAGTCTAGAGATTCAAGTTAGTTTGTTAGCAAAATGGCTTTAGTTCCTACTATGCTTTTCCTATGTGGTGACTACAAGTTGTCTTCTTATTCCCATCAACTATTAAGACTAATTAAGGAGTAAGATATTATTTGTATTTAGCTCATTTTGATCAATATCAGAAAACATTTATTGAGTGACTATTATGCAAGGGCATCTACAAACACACACACCAAAAAAACAAAACTTGATGTAATAACAAAAAACAATTCAAAACTTTGAGAGAGAACTGTCCTGGGGGAAGAAGTTGAGTATATATTTGAAGCATGTTGTTTCCTGGAGTGTTATGGAGGATTTAACACATGAACACGCCAGCAGAATGTAAATGTAACAGAGAGGTTGGGGTAGGAGAAATAGGACACCTCTGTCTTCTTTTCCCAGAAGTGCCCCAAACCTGTAAGATGAGACCATATGCTCAGTTTATAGCAGGAATGTTTTGGTAAAAGACCTATTTTTTAATTATAATATAATTTTTAAATCATAAAATGTTAGTGGAATTTGAGAGATTGTTCTATTTTTTCCTATATGCCTGATTGGAAATAATTATTTAAATGGAAAATTAGATATTGTTTTTAAAATGTTACAAGGTATTTTGGGTTTTGAAACTCAGAAACTAAGAAATTTATTCATATATGGCCCAGTGAGGTGTGCATGAAAGAAAGAATCTGGTTCTACATTCATGTATTACCTCAAGCCATTCATATGAAAAATTCAGGCCAATGACCACAAGAGGGATGAAGAAGAGAATTTGTTGGATGGATCTGTCTGAAGCCATTAATGCTTTTGGAGAAGAACCACCTCTTCCTGCCTTTCCATTCTTCTAGTACTCTAAGACAGTCCCTCAGCCAGAATAGCAATAAACTCTTGGCATCTGGCCCAAGTTTAGGTTCTCTGGGGCTGGATTGCTCTTATATCAAAAAGTCACATATGAGATCCATCAGTACCAGCAAGCAGAGGAAAGAGTTCTTCTGACTGCTGGGTCAGTAGAATTCATCCATAATTCACTCAACAAACAGCAGTTTTATATAAAAGAGAAAATACATTTTACCTTGCTGAGGGCAAAACTAAATGTATTAATAAACCAGTTAAGCAAAAAGAAGTCGCCTTCATATTGATGTTATGTAATTGTCACTTGCAAAACAACCTGTAGAGCATGGAAAATATCCTATCTAATAAAAAAAATTTGGTGATTATAAATTGGACTTAGAAGAGTACTAACATAGTATATTCAGGTATCACTGATTACTGGCTTGATTACCAGAGGGAATTAGAAAAAAAAAAAGACTTTTTAATGAACTTGGTTACCTAAAAAGAGAAAAAAGAGTATAAACCCAGTTTGTTTCCTTACCTGTTTTTTTCTAGGTTATAAAAAATAGCTTCTGAGAGACAAATAGAAATATAATTGCCTATTACAATTTTATTTTACCTGTATAATGATAATATAATATCTTTTTTCTTCCTCTTAATCTATTATTCTTGACTAATCTCATCTTTGAAAGGCAAGTCTTACATTATTTTACATGTAGATTTTTCACATTTCTTCTTACAAGTTTGAATTGTTGATTTAAAAAAAAGTAAAATAAAAGATTTAAACTTACTATAAAGAGAAAGCATTGGTATATAGCAAAGTGAATGAAATACTGGATAATAGCTCCCAAGAAGCTCTTTTGGGATAATAGTGCAAATTGAATTGCCTGCCTTGAAAGAACATCACAGGTAGGAGTTGAAGAAATTCTCAGCTTCTCTGATTTCTTTCCAGCCAGTAAATGTGTCTATCAAAGTCACATGGTCAGCACTACTTGCTTGCTTGGTTAGACTTGTATTCAGTTAAAAAATAAAATAAAAAATAAAAGCAAATACTGAAATAAGCATATGTTTCTTTTCTCCTGGCAAAAGGACCTACTGTCTTCTGAAAAGGAAGTAGATTTTAGGCAAAAACATTGTGTGTCTATTAAAATCACTCTACGTACCATCACTCAAAAGCATTTTTTGAATAACTTCAGGACCTGGGTTCTGGTATTTCTTACTCCATCTTGAGCACTGATCTGCTTTGTGACACTGATTGAGCCACATCCCTGTACTTTCAGTCCCTGTCTTGCAAAATACTGGAAATAAATAATGCTCTTTCCAACTGCCACTTGTTATGCTTCTAGTGTCTTATTTATGTTATGGAACTCTGCTATGAGAAGAAAAATAGCAGAACACAAAATCTATGAAGTTTCCTGGCCTGATAGTATCTGTTGCAAAATAGTGTTTCTGGGAGGATTACGTGAAATAGTACATATAAAATGTCTACCACATAGCATATGCTCAACAATGTTAATCCACTTGCCACAGGGTCACTTCCAATATCTCACTCTGGTAAAAATTACCTTCACCACCTGAAAATCTCTTTGTATCAGGCATAATAGCTGGACTTAAGAATAACAGGACTGAAGAATACCTGAAAGTCTAAAATTGTTATTGCAAAATCAGTACACTAACTTTTGCAGGGCATTTTTTTTTTTGTAAAGAATGGCATTCTATTTCAACACACTATATTTTACTTAACAACTATTAGTTATTCAATAAGTGGATAACATTTACTTGAATAAGTGAATGAATAAGTCAATTGAATACCGTACTTCTCCACTACGGCATTAATGTATAATGTATCTTGGGCTATTTGTCTCATTAGTTTACATAGGAGAACCTGACTTACTCTGTGATACTGATTTGGCCTGTGTAGCAGATTCCTGTCGTGAATTCAACACGAACTGGGAAAATTTCTCTAACTTTTTTAACCTCGCAGTTGTTTTTTTTTTCCCTTCCATGTAATGGGCATAATAACACATAATGTACAGAGATTTGTCAAAATTGAAGATAATATCTAACGTCAAATCTATGGTATGAGATAAATATGTATTTATTTTTAAGTAAATTTGTATCACTTTTGAGTATATCATGTGCTTTTAAAATAACCACTTTAAATTTACTTTTTAATAACATTTCTGAATGTACACTGTTGGGGTAGTGTAGGAGATTCCCTCACTACCTTTGGACTAGGCTGTTGCTCATGACAGCAGAATGAAATTTGCTAACCTCTACTGTGATCCCGAATTTCTTGTGATCAATATCAAAAAAAGATGTGAAAGGCAGTACTGCTCGTTACACTATAGTTTCTTTTAACTATGCCTATCTATTATTATTTGGTCATAGAAATAAGAAAATGACATTGATATAAAATGCAAATGACTCTTTGAATCAATAATAAATTACTGCTCACAAACTATTCAATAACAAGTAATTGATTTGAAGCCAGGCAGAATTTTAGACTTATCTATTGTCTTCAGCTGTACAGAGTTAATGAGGATTTGTAATTACTTTGGATTTTAACTAATACATCTTTTTCATTTTGGAAATTGATTTTATATTAGTGTCATATTTTATGGTTTACACAATTACCTGACTAAATAAAGGTTGACAAAATTGACCATAATCAAAGGCTTGGGAGTACAATAAGCCATTTTAATGCATAGAATGTGTTTTCTCTTTTCAAGAATACCCATCTTTTTAAATTTTTTATGTATAATTGTTAAAAATTTCTCCTTTAGAATTGTAAAATGGGAAAGGGAATAGCTTTTAGTAACTAAAAAGCATTATTCACATAAAGTTCTTTGGATTTTTCAAATTACATTGTTTACCTAGAAAAAAGTTGAAAACCTGTATCTGGCATTTTAAATTTCTACGTCATAAGCCATGTACATTTTCTACATTAACCATGTCAAAGTGTGAACTTTTAGTCTCCTTTTTAAAAGACTGGTTCAAAAAAAAAACAAAAAAGAATATACCAGACATTCTTTGAATGTCACTCACCAAGGAACACTTACATATGCCTCTTGTGAAAAAGAAGAGGCATAGAACAGCCACTGAAGATATTATCCTAAACTTTTATTTGGCTTGGTTTGGAATTGTCCAGCAGCATAAACACACGATTGCTGTATTCTCAGCTGGAAACAGGTTAAGCTAGAAACACATATTACTACAGCCAAACAAAATAGATCAATTTGTCCATGGTTATTCATTTATGTTTCTCCTTGGGGGTCCCTAAGAAGCAAATGATATGCAAACAGCTGCATGATTATTGCTATGCTCTTGTTGCTATTTGGTGATTGCTATTTACATGTAAATTACTACTTGGCAAAGTACAACTTCTCTTCACCAGCAACCAGACAACAAAACAGTTCTTACTAAGCTGTCCAAGATTAATTACTCAAAAATACTTCCTAAAGGATGATTCCTTTAGATTTCTGCATTTCCTAGAAAAGTAATTTTAGAATGAATAAAATATAAAAGAACAATCCCACCATGATTCTAAGGCAGTATCTATTTAATAAGCAACTTTAGAAGATTATGGAAGAATATAGAAATGTAGGTTTCTTGCTGTGAGGACTGATTTGGGCAGAATGGGAAAGAAAAGAAAAACGGAAAGCTAGAGTAGATGCTTAAAGACAGATGATAAGAGATCAAAGATAAACTTGATTTATTTCCAAATTTTATCTCTGAGTCAGGCTAGATGATATCACTCCTCGCCCTTAATGTGTTTATACCTAAAAATTGTCATGAGACTAGAGATTATTAAACTGCCTGAATTAGGCAAATAAAAAGAAAAGGAGTTCTGCACATTGGTGTCAGTTAACACTTCCGTGCCTTTCTTTACAAAACAAAAATTATTTAATGATATGAAAATAGATATATTTACAACTGGGTCATAATCTATATGCAGTTTTGCATGTTTTTCTCCTAACATTATATGAAATGTCATTTTCATATTAATTAATGTAACCACAGCAAAATGTTAATGATTGTATAATATCTCCTTTATGCCTGCACTGCTACTTATTTAGTCCCCAGATGTGTTGTTTTTCACTTTTCACTATTATAGGATATTTTAAAATGGAAATACTTAAGCACGCATCTTTGTTTTACTCATCCAGTTACTTACTTGGAATTTTTGTAACAAGCATGTGATTAAGGATTTTATACATATTGACAAATTGCTCTCCGGGGAAGTTATCCAATTTACACCACCATTAAATTAGTAAGAGAATGTCATTTCCTTCATTTGATTTCATTTAAACTGATCATAGTATCAATAGTCTACTTAGTGACTCTTTTTTTTCCTTCAATTTCATGTTTCAGAGGATATTAATCAACCCAAAAAAGTTCAAGCTGTATTAGTATAGTCAAGAAAAATGGGAAAAATGAAAGGATTTATGATTCAACAGAAGAATCATAATCCATTTAATCCACGTTTAATCCATTTAATCCTGGTTTTTCACAACTGGAATACCTATGATTATAAGCCATAGATTTGGGGGAAGAAAAAATAAGAATTTTAGAAACAGTTGAAACAAAGTGAAGACAAGGTTTATTTTCAAATATACCTTGGAGACTTGTAGATTTTATATAAAATAATAGGGTCAAAAGTGACAAGCTTATTTTTACACCATTTTTGATAAATATGGTTGACTCTATATTAATCAAGATAGTAAGGGAGAAAGAAAGGTATAAATATCCCCTATTACTATTTTAAAAAGGAATTAGTCATAATGTAATAAAAATAAATTTATTTTAAACTTATTTTATTGTAATAGCATCTAGTATTTTTAACACATAAGTAATTCGATAGACTATCATTCAGCATTTTTTTTCAACAAACATTTTATTTTTCCAGTACTGTAGGGGTGAAAGTAAAGCATCCCCTTCGCCTTCAGAAAGTTTGCTGAAAACCCATTCCAAAAAGGCAGATTAATTGGAGAAAAAGGCATACAAATGTATTGGATCATAGTTTATGTGACATGGGAGCCCTCAGAATGAAGACCCAACTCACTCAATGGGGTGCAGAAGCTTACATACCATCTGGAGGTTACAGAAAGAATGAGGGCTTGGATCCTGGCAAAACAGTTTACAGGAGAGGGGAGAAGAGGAATTTTGAAAAGGAGCAATAAATTACTTCTAGGCGGAACTGATGGACTTGAAGAACATAAAATGGTCTAGGACCAAGACTATTGGATCCATAAAGTAGACAATGTTTTGTGACAAAAGTCTGCCTAGGTTTTAGACAGATTTTAATCTTCCTTCCTGTGATGTGGGTTTTGATAATGAAAACTCAAGAAAGGAAATAGAGGAGATTTTTTTCTTCTTTGGTGTGACCAGACTGTAGACAGATAAGGGAACTTCAGCCTGTGCTTTGGGAGAGGTAGAAGATTGAAAAACAGTGGGGGCAGGGGGTGGGGAGGGCAATTGTTCCTCTCCTTGGTGGGTCTGCCTGGTCTTCATGTAGAGGATAAGTGAAAAGTCTCTTCTAGCATCTGTTGATCTCTAAAGGACTTTAATTTAAAATATTCATTATACCAGGGAGCCATATTTTGAAATAGTATTTCCTGTTCTCCTTCAGTATTTACCATGTGCCAGGCACTGATTGATGTCCTGGACCTAATAATAGTGAATAAAATAGAGAGTCTCTTGTTTTCTTTTCATGGAGATTCCATTGTAGTGGGAGAAAACAGTCAAAAATCAAGTAAAAAACATAGTAAGCAAAATAGAGGAAAGTATTATGAAGAAAAATAGAGCAGATTAAAAGTATTAAAAATGATAGAGAATTACAATTTTAAAAAAAGATGAACAGGGAAGGGGTTTTAGGGTTCTCCAGAGAGAACCAATGGAATGGATAGGCAGACATAGAGACAGATGTATACGGGTAGAGAGAAAGAGAGAGAGGATTTATTAGGGTAATTTCTTCCAGATAGAGGATTTATTAGGGGAACTGGTTCATGAAATTATGGAGTCTGAGAAGTCCCAGGGCAGGCTATCTGCAAGCTGGAGACCCTGGGATGCCAGTAGCAAGGCTCAGTCCAAATCTAAACACTTCAGAACCAAGAAAGCCAACGATGTCATTCTCAGTTTGAGGTTGAAGACCTGAGAACGGGGTGATGGTGGGGTGGGGAGGTGGAATGGTATAAGTCTTGGAGTCCCAAGGTCAAAGAATCTGATGTCCAAGGACAGGAGGAGAAGAATGTCTTCCAAGTTCAGCAGAGAGATTGAGAGAGAGAGGCCAATTCCTCTTGCGTCTCTTTTTGTTCTATCAGGCGCCCAGCAGATTGGATCACACTAAGGATGGATCTTCCCTGCTCAGTCCACTCAGACTCACTTGCTAATCTTCTCTGGAAACACCCTCACAAACATACCCCAAAATGATATCTTGCCAGTTCTCAAGCTATTTTTTTATTCCATTCAAGATGACACCTAAAATTAACAATCAAAGAAGTCCAATCTGGAGAGGTCAGATTTGAGCATAGATCTGAGTAAAATGAAACGTGAGCAATGTGAATGTCTGGGGAGGATGCTCTTAAGCAGAGAAAAACCATTTGGAGTATGCTTAGGTGTTTGAAGACTACTAAATGGGCCATTCTGATGGTGTAGTTAGTGAAAGGAAAATTGTCAGAGGGGAGGTCAGAGCCAAGAGGTAGTGGTGGTAAAACATGGAGTGGAAGGAAAACTTACAGGTTAGGCTACAAAAGTACTTTGGATTTTTTCCTGAATGTGTCTGGAGGTTTGATATTATCATACTCATGTTAACTCTCCCTACTGTGGGAAGAATGGATTCTAGGCAATGAGGATGTAAGCAAGAGATCAGTTCAGAGGCTTTTGCAATATCCAAAGGAAAATTATTGAATATGTTTTGTAGATAATTTGACTGATTTGCTGTGTGTGTAGATGTGGGGTGGGAGAGAAGTGAAGTACATTAATCAGAACTGTGAATTTGCTTCCAGGGTAATAGTTTAAGGACCAAAACATTATATAAATAGTTTACCAGAAGTATATTCCTACAGTTTTTATTCCGATACTATTTTTTTTTCAGGAGAATGTACTCATCTTTGTCTCATATTTTAGGAGTCTAACAAAACTAATGATTCAGCTTTAAAATTTGTGAAATAGTATAAATAAATCAGTCCATCACAATTTCTACCCTTTAAATATGAAATATTTTTGCCACAAGGTTTTTCTATTATTGTTAGATAAAAATCAGCACTTTCTTTTATATCTCTATATATGTCTAGTCTTAATATTCCATGCAGAAAGAGGAATCAAATTCATAAATAATACATCTTTACCTCCTAGGTGGAATAAATATAAATATGGTGAGTTGTATGCTAATCACAAATGTAATGTAAAGCATTTTAGTTTAAACCTTTTGATGTCATTTAACTGATTACAATGCCAATCATTCATCTAAATATTGAAATTAGTCATTTTTGCTAATTTAAAAAGTCTTCCCTAAATTTTTTATTGAACCATTAATCAGTCAAACTCCTAAGGAAAATGAAGACAGTTTTTGTAGTCTAACCAAGAATCAAAACAAATTCTGCAACTCAAAATGCTTTGAGGAACAGAAAAGATATTGGGTGGAAAAAGATATCTAGCTTTGAGTACTAATATTCAAAGTTAATAACAGTGAATGACTATAATGCAATTAAATGGGTTCGGTGGATTATAAATATATTGATTATAAAAATATTACTATAAAATTGAGTTAACCAGTATTTATTGAGTACTCACTAGGGTTAAGGTAGTTTTTAAAATTATTAGCTATAAATCATATTAGAGAATAAAACAAAGTTTGGAAATTACTATGTCATCATCAACTTAATTTGAGCCTACAGTGAAGAGCTGTTAGGTAATAAAGAAGAATGTCTTTAGGGTATATCAAATGGGCTTATAAACCAAAAAGTTCTTGTTCTTCTTTATAAAAATAGCCAATATTTATTTTGTGTTTACCATGCACCAGGTACTGTGCTAAGCACTTTATGGTCAATATCTTTTTCAGTATTTCCAGAAACCCTCTGAGGGCAGTACTGTTATTGTAAAAGATACAGAAACTGAGGCTCAGAATTGTTAAAATAGTTTGCTTAAAGTCTCATGAAGTAAGCAACAAAGACAGAATATGAGCCCAGGCATTATGACTCTACATCCCATTCTCTTGAAAACTGGATATTAGAAATTTGGTAAATATAAGATTAACATCCCCTTTCCTATTATTTGTGCAATATATCTTTTTTTCTGTACATAAGCACCATCTTACATAAACTATACATAAGGGCAAAGGTTTGTAAATGTGTATCAAGAAAATTATTATAGATCCTGGCAGAGAAGTCAGAGAACAGAGAAAGGTAAACAGCATGCAAGGAAAAAGCTATAAAAGAAATAAAGATGAGAGGCAGGGAGAAGCCACCAGGAAAATTTTTAAAGAGATACATGACAAGACCCAGTTCAGACAGATTTCTGGCAATGAGCCCTGGGAATAAAAGCAACTAATTTGGAAGTATCAATACCATATAAAGTATTGTGATTTAGTATAAACACAACAGTAGTGCTCAGCATACTATCCACAGCAAAAGACATTTATCTTCACTCTTTGCAAGTCTTGAAAGAGTAACAAATTTCTGAAAGGGAACAAAAGAGAGTGGGGTCTTGTAGAGAAACTCATGTTTATAAGGACCTAGACAAGAGATGCATCAGGATTAAGAAATAAAACTGTGTACCAATAAATTGCTCATGTGAATAGGTATATAAACCAAGGTTCTTCACATGTAAATAAAATAGTTCTTATGCTTTAAGCCAATGGTTCTCAAACTTTAGTATGCATAAAATTAATCTGGATGGCTTGTTGAAATACAGACGTCTGAGTCTCATCCTCATAATTTCTGATTCTGTAGATCTGGGGCGAGGCCTGGAAATTTGCATTTCTAACAGGTGATTGCCAATGCTATTGGTCTGGGACACCATCTCTTGAAATAGGTAAGGATGATGTTGCTAAGAATTGAAGATGTTATAGAAAATAAAGTGGGAGATATTTTACTCCATTCATCTAGTTTATACAGGCATTCTTTCCAGTTTTTTTCAACTTTTATTTTAGATTCAAGGGGTACATGAACAGGTTTATTAACTGGGTATATTGCATGAAGCTGAGGTTTGTGATATGATTGATTCTGTCACCCAGGTACTGAATATAATACCCAGTAGCTTTTCAACCTTGGACCTCTCCCTACTTCCCTCTAGTAATCCTCAGTGTCTATTTTCATCTTTATGTCCATGTGTACTCATCGTTCAGTTGCCACTTATAAGTGAAAACATGCAGAATTTGGTTTCCTGGTACTTCGTTAATTCACTTAGTATAATGACCTTCAGCTCCACCTTGCCACAAAGCACATGATTTCATTCTTTTTTATGGCTGTGTAGTAGTCCATGTTATATATGTATGACATTTTCCTTATCCAGTTCACCGTTGATGGGCACATAGGTTGATTCCATGACTTCGCTATTGTAAATAGTGCTGTGATGAACATGTGAGTGTATGTGTCTTTCTGGTAAAACAGTTTATTTTCTTTTGGATATATACCCAGTAATAGCAATGCTGGGTCAAATGGAAGTTTGGCTAGTGGTCTATCAATTTTGCTTATCCTTTCAAATAACCAACTTTTGGTTTTACTGATTATTTGGATGCATTTTTGGGTCTCAATATTTCCTTCTTTTCTGCCGTGATTTTAGTTATTTCTTTTCTTCTCCTAGAGTTGGGTTTAATTATTGTTTTTTTAGTTTTTCTAGGTGTGATGTTAGGTCATTAATTTAAGAGCTTTCTATTTTTTGAGGTAGATATGCAGCACTATAAACCTTCCTCTTAACATTGATTTTTCTGCATCCCAGAAATTTTTGTATGTGTGTATCTATTTTCATTTATTTCAAATAATTTTTTGATTTCTGCCTTAATTTTGTTGTTTACCCAAAATTCATTCAGGAGCAAGTTGTTTGTTTTCCATGCAATTGTGTGGTTTTAAAAGATCTTCTTGGTATTGGTTTACAGTTGTATTCCACTGTGACCCAAGAGTATGGTTGGGATGATTTTGAGTTTTTTTTAATTTATCGAGACTTACTTCCTGGGCAGATCTTGGAGTATGTTCCACGTGCAGATGAAAAGAATTTATATTGTGATGTTGATAGATGGAGTATTCTGTAGATGTCTACTAGGTCCAATTTGTCAAATGTTACGTTTAAGTCCAGAATTCACTTGTTAATTTTGTACCTTGATAATCTTTGTAATACCGTCAGTTGGTCCCCCTCTACTATTGTGTGGCCATGTGAGGCTTTTTGTAGGTCTAGAAGTACTTGTTTTATGAATCTGGGTGCTCAGGTTCATATATATTTAGGATAGCTAACTCTTCTTGTTGAATTGAATCCTTTAACATTATGTATTGTCCTTCTCTGTCTTTTTTTTAAAATCGTTATTGGTTTCAAGTTTGTTTTATCTGATATAAGAATAGTAACTTCTGCTGTTTTATGTTTTCCTTTTGCAAGGTAGATCTTTCTTGAACCCTTTACTTTCAGCCTATGTATGTCATTACATGTGAGATGGGTCTCTTGAAGACAGAGGAAAAATGGGTCTTGTTTTTGTATACAACTTGCCATTGTAAGTCTTTTAAGTGGGTTGTTTAGATCGTTTACCTTCAAGGTTAATATTGACATGTAAGCTTTTAATCTTATTGTGAAGTCATTAGCTGGTTTCTTTGTAGTTTCTATTCTATGGTTGCTTTATAGGTCCTGTGGGCTATGTATTGAAGTGTGGTTTTGTGGTATAAGGTACCACTCTTTTTTTTCTCTTTTGAGATAGGGTCCCGTTCTGACACCCAGGATGGAGTGCAGTGGCATGATCATAGGTTATTGCAGCCTTGACTTTTCAGGCACAATGGATCTTCCCACATTAGCCTCCCAGGTAGCCCAGGTAGCTGGGATTACAGGTGCACACCACCATGCGCAGCTAATTTTTTTTTTTTTTTTTTTTTTTTTTTAGAGATAGGGTTTTGCCATGCTGCCCGAGCTGGTCTCAAACCTCTGGTCTCAATCTATCCACTCACGTTGGCCTCCCAAAGTGCTGGGATTATAGGCATGAGCCACAGCACCCAGCTGGTATTGCTTTTTCCTTTCTGTGTTTAGGAATCCCTTAAAGATCTCTTATAGGCTAGGCTAGTGATGACACATTCCTTTAGCAGTTGCTTGCCTGGAAAAGATGATGATAACAATCCTTTGAAAGCAGTTATACGTTCCTGCTTCATGTTCCCCTGGTTTTCATCATAGTTTTTAATGTTATTTTTCTTAAAAAATAATGTTGTCCCCTTACAGGACAGTTAGTAATATAATTGTATAGCAGGAATAATTTGTATCAGTTATGATGGAGTTTTCATTCCCTGGAAGTGGTTAAGTTCAAGATGTATAATTATTTTTCTATGTTTTACCTGAAATCCTACCTGGAGTCAAGGAAGCAGAAAGCCAAATGAATCTTAATGGTTCATAAACAGACTTTCTGACTTTCTTTCTTTCTTTTTTTTTTTTTTTTTTTTTTTTGAGATGGAGTCTCTCTCTTGTCACCCAGGCTGGAGTGCAATGGCACAATCTTGGCTCACTGCCACCTCCGCCTTCCAGGTTCAAGCGATTCTCCTGCCTCAGCCTCCTGAGTAGCTGTGATTGTAGTTGCCTGCCACTGCATGCAGCTAATTTTTTTATATTTTTAGTAAAGACAAAGTTTCACCATCTTGGCCAGGCTGGTCTTGAACTCCTGACCTCAGGTGATCTGCCCACCTCGGCCTCCCAAAGTTCTGGGATTACAGGCATGAGCCACCACACCCAGCCCCCATAAACAGACTTTCTTAGGGTAGGAATAATGGCTACTCTGAGTCCTACACTGTCTTTTCTAATATCCTTTCTGCAGATGATCTCTATTGTATCAATTGTCCTTTATGCACCAATTATTCAAAATTTATATCTTTGACTCGAATATCTCCTCTTAGCCCCAAACTCATATATCCAATTGCCTACTGAACATCTCCACTTGGCTGGCTTTCTCCCTTTTACGTACCCAAACCTGAACTCATAATCTCAACCTCATTCCTAAACTTATTCTCCCTCCTTTTTTCCTGTCTCAGTAAACAGAAGCACTATGTGTTCATGTGCTTAAGCCAGAGATTTAACAGTCATCTTTGATACTTTCCTCTTTATCTTTTACCACATCTAATCAATCAGTAACTGCAGTTGATTCTCTATCCTATACATTGTTCATGTTTATTTCAAGTTGCATAATGGCTCCCAAAGAGGTCCATATCCTAATCCCCAGAACCTGTAAGTATGTCACTTTACATGGCAAAGTGTTGCAGATGGATATTATGTGGCTAATCAACTGATATTAAACTAGAAAAACATTTCTTTCTTTATTCCTATGAACCTAATGTAATCACAAGCACCTTTACAAGCAAAACAGGGAGACAGAATAGGAGAATTTGAGAAAGATACAGCTATAGTAGAAAGGCACAGAGAGATACAACATTCTTGGCTCAGAAAATAAAAGCTAAGGTATGTGTGTAGCCTCTAGAGGCTTGAATGGGCGAGGAAGCTATAATGACTCCATGTTCCTTCTTGCCTCAGAGAGACCTTTTATGTGCTACTACATCTATCTGGGATACTTTCCCTCCCCACCCACTCCTATGCCACCCCCCTAAGCCAACTTCTACCTGGCTACCAGGGTTGATATAAAATATTACTTGCCCAGAGAAAAACTATCTGAATTTGCATAATACTAGATTGTATCCCCCCTCCCATCATGCATTAGTGTTCTGCAATTATACATTATATCACTCGCTACTATTTCAGATCATTAATATTTGTGTAACAATTTGTTTACAGAGTTTGTTTTCTCCAATAGATTTAAGCACTAGAGAATATGAGGCCAGAATATATATCCACTTTATTTGTTGTGATATCCAAATAACTTGTACACTGTTTGAAATAGAGTAGGTCCACAGGAAATATCTACTGAATGAGCACATAATTAAATAAATGAATGGATGGACAAATGAAGGTTAGGTGAATGAAATGAGAAAATACATTTATATAGCGTGCGTTATGCCAGTTTAAGGTATATTTTGAAGTGGCTATACCCCTTTCAGGTAGCCTTTTTTCTATTCACAGCTAGAAATTTGACAGAAACTTTCAAGCTGGGTTTTCAAAGTAGATTTGTCTTAATCTTGACCAATGGGCCAGTAAACGCCCCAGTCCATAAGAGTTATTTGCCATTCTATGACCATTTTTCTATGCTTCCATTTTTACACTTATACACAGACACTCATCACATCAAAATTCCTTTGAAGACCGAAGAAAGAGATTGCAATCACAGATAAAACTGCAGTTGCTTAGAAGTGTGAGTAAAGCTATTTTCATCAGTATTTCTAAAGAGTGGCATAAATATATGGCTCTCTGTGCATGAATATTTTTTAATTTTCTTCGGAGCTACAGAAGTTCTTTTGGTCTCTTTTACATACATTTAAATTGACCAGTATGAAATATTTCCCCAAAAAAATAAATAGCTAAAGTCCAAGATGTTGCATATCACAGAGGATTATCTTAGTGCCAAAGAAAATACCAGTTGTTCATATTCACACTCTTTTCTCATAATCACATGTGAAAGCTACAATTAGTATGTAAAAACGAGAATCTCATATATATTTGTGTGTGTGTTTGTGTGTGTGTGTGTGTTGTATTAATCAGGTTAAAAAAACACCTGACTGGTACAACTAATGGTTGTGCTAATCATTAGTCGTGGTAAAAAAAATCACCATCACTAGTGGTTTTTTAACCTGATTAGTACAACTTTCCAAAATAGGAATATAGACTGGAAATCATACATGGAAAATAAATTCTAATTTTTACTGATGATGTTCTATTGGCTTCATAAGTGAAATAAGCAAGTAACCTCTGTTCTCAGAAAAAAAGAAGTAATGCATATACACACACCATATTCAAATTAAACCCACACTTTCTCATTGATATCCGCATATTCTTTAAGAAAGACAAAGGTAAAACTTAAAATTCAAACACTTCAAAGACACAGTCATTTGAAAGCTTACCTTTTATGTTTCATTCACTTGTTTCCTTCATTCCCTCTCTTATTCATTCATTCATTCAGTACATTTCTTTAAATGGCACCCATGTGCTAGACGCTATGTTAGGCATTGGAGAGGTACTTGCAAACACAACAGACGTAGTCCCTGCTCTCACGTACCTTAGAATAAAGCTATAACAGAACAGAATTTAATATACTGGTAGTACAAAGAATATGGAAAAGAATATTTTCTTAAAGGGAACGATATGTATAAAAGTACTGAAGTGAGAAAGAGGTGGGCATTGTGAGCAAGGGCCAAAGTATCCAGTGGCAAAAGATGAGACATCACAAGGTTATCAAGCAGGGCTCTGCAGGGCAGGGATGGCTGTGTGAACTACAGTAGTTCTAGAACTGTGCTTGAGTACCCACAGGATGCCATGGGTTTGGGCTTACTTATTGTTAGTTTTTACGTTGCTCAGGAGGCATGCTATTCTCCTAGATAAGATTTGGAAGTGGAAGTGTAAGGATGAGAGCAGAATAAATAGCCTGGAAGGGCTGAGGAAAGGCTATTGCTTGGAGGGAGGGGAGTTAAAGAGATGGCATGATCCACAGGAAGTACAGTTTTGGCGGGGGAAAATTGGGCAATTTAAGCAGGATTTTAATGACTTATTGTTGACTGATTTGGAGGTAAGCTATATTCCATCTCCCATAAAAATTTTCAAGGAAATACCAATAAACAATGGCTTTTCAGTTAGAATTGTATGCTGTTGATCGGTTGTTATGTAACATTGGTATCAAGATGGTAACGGAGAGCAGGGCTACCTAAGGGGTCTCCCTGAAATTCAGAGTTAAAATGTTAAGTAACTTTTATTATATCCTCGTGGCAATGGTAAGAAAATTAAGCACGGGAGTTATCTGATCTTATTTACCGTTTAAGAGGTTTTCCCTGGCTTTTGTGTGGAATGAAATGAGTTGCAGAGAAGCAAGAGTGGGTACAGAATCACTAATTAAAAGGCTATTTTAGTGTTCAGGAGACAGAGGATAGTGGCATGGACTAGTGAGCTAGTGATGAAGAGCAAAGGAAAGAAGGATTTCAGGTATTTTGGGGAGGTAAATGCAACAAACCTTGATATGGATTTGATATGGAGTGTGAGGATTTGAGTGACTGGGTAGAAACATATGCTTTTTACTGAGATGGGATATGGGAGGAAGAATGATTCCAGGATGGAATGAGAGGAGGTTTAATAGTTAAGTTTTCAACATGTTAAGGTTGAGGTATTTGTGAGTTATCCAAATGGCTATGTTTGGGGGGAAACTGACACAAAAAGCCTGGACTTGATTCTTGGCAGGTGGTAATGGTCGAAACAAAGCAGGTGAAAGAGATTGCCAACAGAGAGTATAAATGAAAAGGGAACAAAGCCCACTGCCTAAAAATGGAAATAAAAAAAAGGCTGACCAGAGAGGTAGGCGGGGAGAACAAAAGGCATGTCTGAAAATAAAGCCAAAGGAAAAGAACTTTTCAAGAAACTGGCTCATCATAATAATGTGCTTACCAGTGAGGATCTAAAAACCTCGAATTTACATCCCTGCCTTACAGTTGAGGTAGGCTGAAGTTGGGGGAAGGGAGACTTGAACAAAAATAATTTCAACAAGTCCATGATAAGGGCCATGATAGAAGCATGTACAGAGTATTCTAGGGACCTTAGAGAAGCATTTAATTCAGCTTGGAAGGGCACTGAGGCAAGGAGAAAGGTAGGGCGGGGGCATCCACACACAGGGACTAGAATGTACACAGGCGCAGTTTAGAGAGACAACAGATTCATTTCCAAGAGGAGGCCTTGGGAGTAGAAGAACACTGAACGTTTGAGGGCTTTGAGCAAAGGAAAAGCCAAATCATATATAGCCAATTTGGCTTCCTTCAACAATTCTTAGTTGAACTCTGGTTGACCTCATTAGACAACTTCTCTCATTAGACTGAGAACTCTTTGAGGGCCAAGGTCAACGCTTATTCAGGTTTCTAATACTTATTTGACCATGAGTTATTTACCTATCTCCTGGGGCAGTTTCCTCACTTTTAAAAGTAGACACTCAATATAATGATTATGAAAATTAAATAAAGGGTGATAATGGATGTAATGCATCTCATATAGAGCCTGCCTGGCACATACTAAAAGCACGACATATGGTAGGAGCTGGTAGTGGTAGAAGAGATATTAATGGGGGCAGTAGGAGTAGTAACTGTAGTAATAGTTGAGGAAGTAAAGTCAACTGCTCTTGCTTATTTAAATAATGTCTTCTCAAATTTTAGGGGTTTTGAGATATATTTGTCAGTGTTTCTAGTTTATTTTTACATGGAGATATCATGGATTGGTCCATTATGCACATTGTTGAAATAAGCTTGCTAGTGAGGGCACTACAGCAGTTAGGATGAATCATATTTATCTTTTGAGAATATCATGTGACATTATAGTTAATTTTGAGTAACTAAGCAATAAAATCCCCAAGTGTTTCATACGTATTTTTTAGAACTGAAACCAAATGGTGCGCTATGTATTATGAATGCACCAAAGGTTCTAATAATCAAGACCACCATTTTGCAAAAAAGGTATTTTCCTTAAATACAATCTATCTGCCTTGAGAAAGCAAATATTTATGATTACACAGTTTTTGCTTTTCATATATAGCAAAACTAGTGTTTTTGAATTATGATTTGCAAATAAAAAGGCAACTCATATTTTCTATTTTTAGTATTACTCTATAGGATTATTATAGACTTTATGTATTATAAATTATTCAGGCCTTTATAAAAATAGCAGAACAGTATATTTTAATATTAATTTTAATGATATTACAAAATGGACAGCATAAATAAGAGATAGTTGGAAATTCTGTGGTAATTTTCTCAAAAATGACCACATAGATCAAAAGAAATTATATACACTGATGTTTATATGCAGTCATTGGCAATGACATTAATGATGAATAGCAACTTACATATGCAGTTAATGGTGAGTTCAACCCATCACCCTTCACACAGGCTGTCAGCTTTTAGATACTCTGCACAAAAATGTACTGCCACCAACAGATATGAAAAGAATTGCCAACATGAGAGGATTAACTGTTCCATTTAGGATGTCCAGCTGGCTAATGGGATTCATTTTGGTTTGTTGTCAGATTCAGCCTGGCATATTTAATTTTTGTTCTCTTGAAAGTATAGCTTCTCACTGAGATTCTGCACGCATAACACCAATGAAAATGGCGTAGTAAAAAGTTGAAAAATTCAGACTCCCTGTTTATCTCTAGCAACACAGCTACAAAGAAAATATAATTATAGTTTTGCATTGGGAATGTATTTATAAGGGCTTATTGGACCCCAGATAGATATTTTAACCCTGATGCAATTCACCAAGAACCATGTAAAGTTATAAATGTGGCCATATGCCTCTTCTTCACTCATTCCCTCCACACGTATTTATTGAGCTGCTCTCTGTTCTCAGCAACAGTGAGCTTGACCCCCTTTACCATATAATCTGAAAGGGTCTAGACTATTTGGCCTTTTGTTACTGATATTAGTTCCAATGGGAGGTTACCGAGGGTAAGTAATCAAGATACTTGCTGGTAACTGGAGTTAAAAATTGAACACTACAATTTGTATCTAATTTCAAAGATGGTTCTCCCTCAAATTCAATTTATAATGTCATTTGATTTTGATTATTTTTTAATGATACCAAAGATGGATTTATAGATGGAAGAACCAGGAAAAGCAAAAGCTAGTCCAGCAGGTGAAATGTCAGAAAATAACGAAGGATTGCCAGGATAGAAATCAGAAAAGCTAAATGGAAAAATGAGATAAATCTGCTAAAGATACAAATAAATGATATCTTTAAACTCCTTAAATATATCAACAAAAAAAGATAAAGGAAATATGTCTTCTGCAGGAGATAGAGAAGGGCTCATAGCTGCTTCTAATAATTCAATTACATTCAAAAATAAACTTATTGAGCATGACTTTTTCCTTTAAACTCAGTTTTTACAAAAATAAATGAAATATGAACTTAGAAGGGCAGGCTGTAAACCCTTGAGGATGTGCTTACAGAATCTTATTTTCTTCTATGTTCCCCTGAAAGGGTGGTATTCTCGATGAAATTCAGCCTCCACATTTTATTGGCTGTATTTCCTTGGGCAAATTCACTTTTCTAAACCTCAGTGTCACAAATTATGACACGGGTGGTAGGAATTTAAATGAGATAATGAATATAAAGTGCTTATGTCAGTGCCAGGCATATGGCTAATGCCTAATAAATGATAAACTGGAGTTTTATTATTTTATTCCATGTATTTCTTTATCAATCAATTGGGTTCATTGGACTACAAATCCCTGTAAATCAGGGGCTGTTATTTATTTTTGTATTCTTAGCATGTAACAGAGTGCCTAGTACATTGTACCTACTCAGAAAATGCTTGTGCAACAAAACTGCACATTCTGATCATCCATCAGCCTTAAAGGCCTCTATCAATTTCTACCAATCTGCCTAAATTTGACTTTCAAGATGCGGCAGAAATAAACATTTTCCCAAAAGCTTTCCATGGACTCCAGTCCACCTACCAAATACAAGCACAGTGAGTTGCCCTGTCTCTGTATTTCAGTTGTATTTTATTGTTTTCTGCACTACTCCAAACATGAGGACATTGCAATTATTTGTTCATGTGTTCATGTTTTCCCTCCAATTAACTCATCTTTTTATACTTAGAATTTATACCGTGGCTTGTATGTAGATAACTCTCAGTATATATTGGTTTGATTAATTGTTAATTCATTCATTGATTCATTTAGGGGTTTATTATTAAAGTTAATTATTATATTTTCTCTTGGGATTCTAAAGACATAAAGAGACAACATAATTTAAGTTGTGATAAAAACATTTACATTCCTGTTTGGATATGTGTTATCTTGTTAGGTTGGATATAAAAGTGTTTTTTTTTTTTTTTTTGAGACAGAATCTCATTCTGTCATTCAGGCTGGAGTGCAGTGGCATGATCTCAGCTCACTGCAATGTCCACCTCCTGGGTTCAAGCAATCCTCCTGCCTCAGCCTCCCAAGTAGCTGGGACTACAGGCATGTGCCACCATGCCCAGCTAATTTTTTATATTTTTAGTAGAGATGGGGTTTCACCATTTTAACCAGGATGGTCTCGATCTCCTGACCTTATGATCCTCCTGCCTCTACCTCCCACAGTGCTGGGATTACAGGCATGAGCCACTGCGCCCGGCCAGAAAAGATTTTTTAAAAGAATTATATTTAAATCCCTCAGATAAAACAAGTGTGCCTCTTACCATAAAATTGTGAGAACTAGGTTAGATCACTTTCCTAATTTTCTTCCATCACTAATAGTCTTAAATAAGCAATATATTCATTAAATATTTACTACTTGCCCAGCACAAACTAATATGACGAGTTTTCTTACACAAAGAGTAAAATCACCATGAGTATTACTCTCTCTTCTGCTTTCTGATATTGGTGACAATTTTAACTGTGCTGTTTTCTGACTAGCAAATATGGCTATGGTCACACCTGTAGTTGCTGGTATTATTTTGTAATTCTTTCATCTTTCATTCGGGTTTATGATCTCTTGTTTCTATTTGGTTTCAATCATAACTTATAGGTTGATTTTAAATGATGGTCCATCATCTGCTTTGTTAGATATATCTCTGCTGTTCTTTGAGTTAAGGTCTGGTTTCATTCCTGTTCGTAATTTATTGAATACTGGTACATGATATTATTTGTCACCATTATCTGGAAGTTCAGTGCTATGTTCAGGGGCATATAAAAATGATACTCTCAATCTATAAATCATACAGTATTGTCTTAACTTTGGAATAATGTTTTGTTGAATTAGGAAAACAGATGTGACTAAATCATCCATAGCTCAATGAAGATCAGATTAAACCCAGGATTGTCAAAGCAGACGTACAAAAGAACAACCATCAGCATAACACTGGTCTTGGGAATTTGAAATACTTTGTCCTTGAATATGGTATTCAAGGCTGGCTATTTCAATCTTCTGTTCAATATAAATGGAAATAAAATTTCTTCATATATCACTCCTTATGGCAGTGGCATTTTTACATCTTTTCTAAAGATCACATATTCATCTGTATTTGGACTTAGAGCCTGCCAGAAATCTGATTTATGCCAGTTCTTTTGCTTTTCTTCTAATTTAGTTTGAGGAATTAAAATGAACTTTGCTCTATTTCCCTTGAAGATTATATTTTCAATTCTGGAGGAAAAAATGACCTATTTTATGCTTATGTTCTTTTAATTTATTTTAGTTTTTTGTAATAATTGACATTAATCAATCTAGTGATAAATAAAATCATTATACAAAAAAAATCATATGAATAATAAATTTTTACTACCAGGACAATATCACAAGTGTGTTCACAGCACTTTCAAAGCTCTTCCTAAACAAAGGTAAAAGGATCATCATTTGCTTAAACAAACTATGTGTATGCCCAGTATGGATTTATTACACCATTCAGTTATAAAGAGAATGAAAATAAATATGGGCCTGGTTTCCACATTGTTAAAAAAAAAAAATAAAGTAACACAGAAGAAACAAACACTTGGGAAAAAAAAGAAAAATAATATGTCATTTTATTTCACCTTTCTTATTTAGATTGGACATCAAGAAAAGTCTATGGTAATGTGAACTCCATTACCTGCAAGGAAAATTAGAGAAATTAAAATGAATTCAGATATTTTTATCATTAACAGTTTAAAATAAAATATATACTTACTTAAATATGTATGTTTACATATATGTAATATAATAGATATTTTAACTAAAACATACACTCCAGGTATAAATACAGAATTCTATGGCATATAAAAGATTTAAGGTAAAGACAAGGATGTGTTTTTATATTTTACTAAAGAAAGATGTTTTCCATTATCCATTTCTCTTTTATATGTAAATCATTCTTCCATCACATGTGTCAAATAGTGTTGCACAAAATAAAATGTAAATATCAATTTTAATATTCAGGCTGTTTTACCCATATAGGAGGCTTATAATGTGAAATTCCTACTGTGAACCAATAATTCAAAGAGTTTCAAATATAAATTTATTTCAAATTGGAAACATACCAGAAACTATTTATTCAACTATTAATTCAATTTAAAATGTATCTACTGAACACTAGCTATGGGCCAGGTGCTATGCTAAATATAGGAACTCTCATGGGGAAGAAAGCAAGAAATTACACAATAAATAAATTCTAATTTAAATACCTAGATGATAAATGAAAGGATGACATTCATTTTTATCTGATTAAATAGCTATCTCAAATTATCCATGTAATATTATCTAAATAAAATCTCAGGGAAGTTGGTGACTGTGTGTGTATGTGTATCAAGTGTCCTGGAGTAAAAATCACAAAACCTGGAATCTAGTCACTTATTGAGAACTTGGGCAAGTCAGTTTATCACTATGAGCTTCAGTTCTGCTGGTAAATTGCCATACATTATCAGGCCGGTATGGAAAATGCAATTAGGATATGATTAATTGAAATACATTATAAAAAGTACTTTAACAAAATTATGCAAAAGATGATGTGGGAGCAAAGAGAGTAAAGCATTACCCATATTTCTTAATCATTCTGCCCACAGTGTAAAGGGTGGTTTTGAGAGAACTGGGAAGACAGCCAGGGATACCAGTCAAAATGATGGAAATATCTAGGTGAGTCCCTAAATATTGACACTGGCGATGAACTTGAAGAATAAAAAACTGACTTGAGAGATATTGGAAAGATAGAATTAACAGAACTTAGTTGACAAAATAGATGACGGAAAGGGAAATGAAGGACAGAGAGTCATCTGGATTCAACTTGGGTTAGGGTGCCACTCATTAAGATAGAAACATGAAAGAGAATAAAATAAGGGAGATGAGAAAATGAGCAGGTTAAGAAGAGTTGATTTAAGGGTACTTTTAAAAATCCAACTTGAAATGTTCTGTAGGCAAGTGGATATATAGTCCTGGCACTAAGGAAAAAAAAAAATGAACCGATACCAAACATTTTTGAGTTAACATTCACTGATTCAATAAATACTCATGGAGTACCTACTATGTACTAGGCGCTTTTCTAGGTACCGGGAACTCAGCAATGAACAAAACAAAGTCTCTGCCTTAAATAATTTGTATTGTATCAGGGAAAGTCAGATGACATTTTTGTAAAGAATGTGATTTGTCAGATTGTGTTAAGTGCAATGGAGAAAAAAATAAATGGGTAAATGGAATAGAATGCCAAAAAATAGGAATTAGGATTTTGGCTTCATATAATACAATCAGAAAAGGCCTATTCATTTAAGAAACAGCAAACAGATTACTATGGCTGATGATGATTGAGTGATGGGGAGAGCGGTAGGTGATGTGGTTACAGAGCTCGTAGGAGGACAGAATGTGTGAGGTCTTACGGTCACTGAAGGACTTTGATTTTTCACTTTGAGTGATATAGAAGCCTTTCAAGTGTTGAGGAGGGGATCATGATATGACTTATTCTCTACTGGATTGCTATGACTACTGGGTGAAGAATGAACTGAAGGAGCATAATGGCAGAAGCAGAAGGACAGGTTAGAATGCTATTGTACAAATTTTAGGCAAGAAATAAGGGTGGCTTGAACCACAATGCTTGGTAGTAGAGATGATGAGAAGTGATATCTTTCTAGACGTATTTGGAAGGTAGAAATGACAGGATTTTCTAGTTGACTGGAGTTTGAGTGTATGGGAAAGAAAGGAATGCAAGATGATTCTAGAATTTTTGACCTGAGGAATTGAAACAACTAAAAGAATAAAATTAGTCCTTATTGATGGAACCATTTGCAGAAAAAAGTAGATCTGGATGACTGAAGAATTTAAGTGAGAACCTAATATAAATAAGAATATTTGAAGACAGTTAAATATATACATTGGTAGCAGGAGATGTAGTCACAGGGCAGAGATATGGCATAATCACCATATAGATTATAATTAAAGCCCCGGTTTAGCTCACCATGGAATTTGTGCTAGTGAAAGAAATTGTAGAAGTACCACACTTCAAAATTTGAAGTCTTTGGAAATAAAAATATCAGAAAAAGAAACTGATTTACATAGTCATTTAGATAGAAGAAAACAAAACAGAAGTCAAGAGCAGAAAGTATTTCAAGGAGAAGAAAAGAATCCCTTGTGCCAAATGGTGCTGATATGTCAAGTAAAGATGAGGACACAGTTTTGACCATAGCATTTTAGTAACATAGAATTCAGTGGTAACCTTGACAGGAGCAGGCGCAGTAAGCCAGGGACAAAAGTCTCATTAGGGCAGTTTCAAGAAATCATAGGATAATGGCCAGGTGTGGTGGCTCACGCCTGTAATCCCATCACTTTGGGAGGCCAAGGTGGGCAGATCACTTGAGGTCAGGAGTTCATGATCAGCCTGGCCAACATGGCAAAACCCTATCTCTACTGAAAATACAAAAATTAGCCGGGTGTGATGGCACATACCTGTAACCCCAGCTACTCGGGAGGCTGAGGCAGGAGAATCACTTGAACCTGGGAGGTGGAGGCTGCGGTGAGCTGAGATTAGCCTGGGTGACAAGAGTGAGACTCTGTGTCCAAAAAAAGAAAAAAAGAAGAAAGAAAATAATAGGTTAATATTTAGAGAAAGCAAGTTGTAGACTCATAAAGAAGAGAAGAAACTGATGGCTAAGAATATAATCCCTGGTGCAATGCTCTCAAGTATGGAATGGCTGACAAATCCTAGCGCACAGTAGAAAGGTTAGCCCAGCAGGGTGTCATGATAAGTTATCAAGAGAAAGAGAGGAAGTAGAGTAGAAACAAGGGCATCCCTTAACAGTGAAGAGGGGAAGAGATAGAAAGTTTGAGCCAAAAGAAGTTGGTGTGAAATAATTGCCTGAAAGAGCAGAAGAATAAATAAACCAGTGATCTCCAGGCAGTATTAGGAGCTTACTTGAGTTAGTGCTCATGAATTTTAAAAGAAATATGCCAACATGGCTTTGTATTTTTCTCCAGCTGTGTTTAACTGTATGGGTGCAGGCATAGAGGAGGTGGAGAGTTCAATTTAAAATAGAACTTCAGGTTTTACCAAGTGAGTATGATAAATGTAAAGAGGGGGAAGTAAAAGAGGCAAGAACATAGGAAGAAGTGGTTATGATAACTCATCATGGAATTTAAGCTAGATAAATAGATGGCAAAGGACAGTGAGATTAATGAATTGTTGGTCTTGATGAGATTAAAGGCTTGTTGGAGTTAGGGTACAGAAAAGGGTGAACTAGAAGGATGGAGTTGAAGTTCAAGAGTAGGATATTTGCAATTGAGATTATCAGGGGGTTTTAATTACTAGTAAAGGAAAGGCCAAAGGCCTGACCAGAGGCGTGAAGAGCCGAGATGAGTTAGAGGACAGAGGAGGGTAAGAAACTGAGAAGCCAGAGAAGTAGAATAATTATCTGGGATATTAAAATCACCAAGAATTAAGACAGATAGAGTGTTAGAATGAAAAACGGCAAGCTAGGAGCTAAAATTTTCAAGGAATGAAAGTGATTAGGAAGAAGGTTACTATATAATTCTAACACAAAGTGTCAGTTGGGGCTATGACCTGGTGATGTAAGAGTCAAAGTTGAATATTTTTAGTGAACAGGAAATGAGATGTTCTGGAAAGGGCAGTGAGAAGCAAGAAAGTCCCCCATCCTTCAGCTGCCATCCTTATGGGCATGAGCGTTGTACAGAAATAATGTTCACATCAAAGGGCTAACAGGGAAGTATTGTCGGCAGGAAAAATCCAGGTTTCCATTGGAACAAAATGGTCGAGGAAAAATTGAAAGTTTGCAAATATGACAGTATGGTGATGACTGAAGCTTCATTTCCATAGGGCACGTGGTTGGGGGGAGGCATGTTAAAGTTGGAGAGGGGTAGAATTCGGAGTCTAAAAAGGCAATACATACAGCCATGTGGGGATTAAAGTCTAGGGAATGAAAGACGACTTGGGAGTCTTGCAGTTATTGTGATTTCAAGGAGCAGGGAACAGGGAAAAATGAAATTAGCCCAATCCTGAGGGTTCCAAGGCAGAAAGTGTTGACGAGACTGCTTGTTTTGGAAACAGTGAGGGGTGGGGTGCCCTTTGAGGAACACACGAACAGTTGGGACTTCCTAACTTCTGCTTTGTGGCTAGCAGAAGGACAATCCTGAGCACAGGGGTGTTCTTTTGACCTCTCTTAATAGTGGCTTGCAGAAGGAGAGGTATTTAGCACATTCTCAGAAGAGAGAATAACAACTTACCTCTATTTAGTCCCTAATGCATTTTGTTATAATTTTGTAGCAGTCTTCTCAGAGTGAAAACATCTTGAAAACCTAGGAATATTAATTTTGTTTCCCAGTGCTTGTCAAAGTATTTGGTACAGAGTATCCTCTAAGTCAACATTTGTTATAGAAATGAATAAAATAGCGTAAGAAATCCTAACCTGACAGGGTTATTCAAGTGATTTAACTGGTGATTAAGTTAGGTAGCATATGTGTAATTTATGGTAAGCTGAAAATTCTTATATATTATGATGGGTAATTTGAGGTGTCAATTTGACTGGATTAAAGGATACCTTGAAAGCCAGTAAAGCATTATGTCTAGGTGTGTCTGTGAGGGTGTTTCTGGGAGAGATTTGTGTGTGAGTTGGTGGGCTGACAGGAAAGAGCTGCCCTCAATGTGGATGGGTACCATTCAATTGGCTGGGGTCCTGGATAGAACAAAAAAGCAGAGAGGAAAGGCAAGTTTACTCTCTCTTTCCTGGAGCTGGGACACCCTTTGTCTCTTGCCCTTGGACATCAGAACGCCAGGCTCTCTGGCCTTTGGACTTCAGTAGACCCCCAAGTTCTCAGGCTTTCCCCTCAGACGGAGAATTACACTATCACCTTCCCTTCCCTGGTTCTGGGACTTTCAGACTTGAACTGAGCCTCACTACCAGGATTTCTGGGTCACCAGCTTGCAGATGGCCTATCTTGGGACTTGTCAGCCTCCATAATGGCATAAGCCAATTCTCCTAATAAATTCCCTCTCACACTTCTATGTTATCCGTCTGTCTGTCTGTCTGCCTATCTGTCTATCTGTTGATCTCTCTTCTATCTTTCTCTCCTGTTGGTTCTTTGTCTCTGGAGAACTCTGACTAATACATATGTAGATTGAGCATCCCTAATCTGAAAATCCAAACATACTAACTGCTCCAAAACCCAAAATTTTTGAGCTTCTATATGAAACTACAAATAGAAAATTTCGCACTTGACTTCATGTGACAGGTTGCAATCAAAATGCAGGTGCACAACATAATTTATTCAGTGTCTCCAAGCGGTTACTGTATCAAGTAACCTTTTAATCAAAACACAGCATCCTAGGTGTAGACAGAAAGCTTGGCATTTTTTGCTGTTGCTGTTGTTAACAGCTGACACAGATATTCCTGGGATGCTACTGTGTTTCTTGGTTACCCTGAACACATTATTTTTTCACTGCATTAATGATGTCATTTTTTTTTTACTGTAAAGTACTTATATGTGAATAAGTTCAGGAAAGTGATTACATATTAGTAGAATATAAATTCAAACTGAGTAATTATTATGGTGATGCCAAACAACCACAGATTGTCCACGTGGATGGCTGAGAAAATGACACCTTTGCTTTCTGGTGGTTGACTGTACCTAAACCTTGTTTCATGCACCAAATTATTTAAAATCTTGTATAAAATTATCTTCAGGCTATGTGTACATGTATGAAACATAAATGAATTTTGTGTTTAGACTTGGGTCTCCCAAAATATTTCAGTATTTATATACAAATATTCCAAAATCTGAAAAAATTCAAAATCTGCAACACTACTGGTCTCAAGCATCTTGGATAAGCCAAGGGCTACTCAACTTGAACATACAATGTAATATGTATGAATCATTTCATCCTAGTTTTATGTTTTTTTTCTAGTCATGTTTGAAAATGTATCTGTAACATTGAACCAAGCTTCATTGACGACATCTATAAGGAAACATTACTTTCCTCTCCCTTATTATCTCAGTATTAAACACATTTGGTGAGTATTCTAATTGTTAAAGCCAGCTGGAGCCTGAAAACTGTAAATGCCAGTCCCTGAGTAGGAGGTAGGATCTTCCTACTAGTCAACTCTAGCCATTGACAAACATGAACTAAACTCAGAAAAATGAGACTCGCTGGGCAAAACCTAGTTATACTAGGAAAGAGAACAGATCTCTTTTTCTCTTGGGTCAGATTTTAAAGACTCCACCTGTGCAGGTCTGCAGTCACTCCTGGACAGAATGGCAATGTGCAGCTGGACCAGTTCCGGGAAAAAAGGAAGGAGATTCCAAGGGAAGGGGAGGGCAATGTTTATGAACTACAGAGTTTAAGCTATACTCCTCTATGCCAGATTGTTAGTAATATGGTACCCACTCTATTTATGTATTCCACTTTTGTCTTTAAAAAATTTAGAGCCAGTGTGGCAAATAAAATTTAGGGAAGGTCAGGTTCATCTATGCATGAGTCAGAGCTTTCACGGGAAAGGGACCTGAGGTAGCCAGAGGGATGCTAGCAGAAGGCATTGGTAGGGAGAGATCAGGTGGTGTGATTTGAGCTTTTTTCCTCCTCAAGGCATGATCTCAACTTGTAAACAGTCCAAAGGTTTTTATTATCCAGATGATTCTCATTTTAGTGCTTACCTTGTATATTTCTGGTTTTCTCGCATTAAGGAAAATGGCATTTTCTTACATCATTCTCTGTAATGATTCTCTATAACAATTCCTATTAACATTTAAAAACAACATTATTTCTAAATGAACAATTCAAGCTCAATCATGACTATCAAATTTTACTAAAATTTGGTAGTTTAGTATCTGCTTCGATCCATGTTTCATAAACCAATTCAATATAATGTTAATGTGTTCTGAAGAAACAAATGAGTTTCATGGTTAAACAAGTTTTTTTATTTTATTTTTTTATTTTATATTCAGTGGGTACATGTGCAGATTTGTTATGTAGATTTATTGTATAGTGCTGGGGTTTCGGCTTCTATTGAAACCCATCACTGAAATAATAAACATAGTACCCCATAGGTAGTTTTTCAAGCCTTTCTCTCCTGCTTTCCTTCCACTTTTTGGAGTCCCAAGTGCTTACTGTTTCCATCTTTATGTCTGTGTGTACCCACTCTTTTGCTCCCACCTACGAGAACATGTGGTATTTGATTTTCTAGATTAAATAAGTTTTAAAACACTGGATTAAACAGTTAAACAGACTTAGACCTTCTTGGCGCATTCAATATATGCATTTGCTCTGACTCTGAAAGGAGATACAGCATAAACTTCTAATGCTTATTTAATCTCAGAAACTCCTTTACTGGAGTACCTGTTGCCAACCTAGATGTCATCCACAAAATATAATTGGGAAATTCTAATCTAGGTGATTAAATTATGCTTTCTTTTCTTCAGCCTATTGGAGTGAGGAATTTTTTTTTTTTTGAGACTGAGTCTGGAGTGAGGAATTTTAAGGGAACATTATTCTTGTATTTCATAATAAAGCCCTGTACTTGGTTATAATGTTAAAAAATTGATTATTCTTCAGAATTCAGTGTGCTAGTTTCCTTCCTTCTTTCCTTCCTTCCTCTTTTTCTTTCATTTCTCTATCATCTGTCTCCGAGATTGATGCATACCTTCCTCTTTCATACTGTCTTTCTCAAGTTTAGGTGTCAAGTTTATGGTACCGACTTCACATAATAAATTAGAGACCTTTCCATTGGGGTCATATCTTTAAATTCTGTCTTTTTTAACTAGATTCAATAGGTCTTTAAACTCTATTAACTACCTGTGTGATTATGAGAAAGTCACTTCTTGATGTCTCATTTTTGATATATGTAAAACTCAGGATAATCATACCTACTTTGTAGAGTTCTTGGGAAGAGTAGACAAAATTACGCCGCTAAATCACTTAGCACATAAAATGACATTTAACACCAAACGAGTATTAGCTACTGTCGTTACCATTCTGGATAGCATACAGCTGGTTTCTTCCACCAACCACCAATTATATATGTCTTTATTGAAGTCATGTTTTTGGTGTGCACTGGTTTGGTATTTTCAGACCTCTAACCCATTTGCTGCTCATTGATCACTAATCTCTTGGCTCTGCAAATGATGATGCGTTTAAATTTCTGATGAGTGACTCTTACGTAGGTAGGTGTTACACATTTGCAACATGTCTGAACACACGGTTTGTATTTAAATGGAAACTGGGACTTGACAGGAGCCTCTGGGGAATCATCACTACCTAATAGGTTTCCTTAATGACCAGTCAATTAAGAACTTGTATTTGCAAAGTGCTTTGCCATCATTGTTTTTCTTTCAATTCTCTGAGCCATTACTATCATCTTACTGATGAAACAGAGATACAGAAAGGCTTATTGACTTGCTTTTGGCTACATGGCCTGAAATTCCAGGGACTCTAGGGATTTAGGTCTCAAAAATCCTGCAGTTCTAAGCAAACAGGGTTAGGCTTTCTCAATAGACTCACTCAAGAGACAGAGAACTAAATGTAGCCTGCTCACAAACCATGAGAGGACTTAAGGGCTTTTGGTCTGTAAAAGAGTTCTGTGATCGTCCCCAAATCACTCCATTAATAGCCGTTCTCTAACAGTCATGATTTGCTCATTAAATTATTCACCAGTATTAGAATCAGATACCATGGAATAGAGAAGTTTTATCTTAATGTGTGAGATATTTCAGGATGAGTGTTACAAGACTTAATTCTTAAGTAAAAAGCGAGACATTCCCTTTAGCTTCTCTGTAAATGTAGTAAATACCGCTGTATAAATATAAGCATGGGCTCTTTGTAGCCTGCAAAGCAGATTTTGTGTTTTATGTGAGGGAAATAACAATCAGTAATACTTAGGGTTTTGAATTCAGGGTTTGATTAAGGGTGACTGTATTACAATTTTTCTCATCTAAATAGTGTTCATTAAATATTAGAAGAAAAGAGCTCAAAATGTAGGCAGTGATTATGTCTAAATGTTGGAATCATACAAGATCTTTACTTTCTTCCGTACACATTTTTACAATTGTCATATATATTATAATGAATTGCCATTACTTTTATATTTTCTAATCAGGAGTACACACACACAAAATTTAAATACCCTTTGTGTTTTTATAACATTAGATCTATGATTTTTATTATAAGGAGGGCTGAGAGTATAATTACAGAAACAGCCTGTTAGCTTCTCTTAAGAAACATTCTCTCATTATTTCAAGTTTTGTTTTCCCTTGGATCTCAGCTTTTTAGTGACAAATGAAATAAGTATTATGTCAGTTTGTAACAAATTATTCATTTCAAAATAAGAACTCCACAGAACGTTTAATTACTATTCTCAGCGAGTAGATCATATTCACTGTTGAAAATATAATATAGTTAGAATCTTCTGTTTGGGCATTTTATACACAAGATAAATTCATTTTTTCCTAATAATTTTTACCTTTAAGCTAATGTAAAGGGATATAAATGATTAGGCAAGGTGACTTTTAAATGTTGTGAACAATGCATGAACATCTTTAAGTATACATATTAGTAGAAATTTATTGTGTCAGCTCTTTGTAATATATTTCACTAAGCAATGCAAAATAAAATAAAAGATACAGTCTCCATTTTCATCATTGCCTATAATCTAAGCCCTCCTCATATTTTGCATAGGCTATTTCAGTAACCTCCTAAATGATCTCTTTGCTAGCATAATCCTCTGTTTCACATGTAAACGTGATCATGTCTTTTATAGTCTCCTCATGCCTCTTTCTCTACAGGATAAAGTCCATACTCTTTAGCATGGCAAACAAGGTCTCTGCAACCTGGTTTCATCTTTCTGTTACCTTCTGCCAGCCCACCTCAAATTTACTCTGGAATAAGGTTGGGCTGCTGAAGTCCCCTGAGACTCCAGGCAGGGTCCCATCTCTGTGCAGCTGGCTTATACTATTTTCTCTCCATTGAATTTCACGCATTCATAGGGGAAAGGAATGAGCTCTTCCGTCTGGTCTTTTTATCTCCCTTCTTCAGAAGAGGAGTGGCTTATCTGACTTGTAAGACCAGTGACAGCTAGATCTGAACTGAGTTATTGTGTTAAAGGTCACTGTTCTTATGGACTTCTCATGTCTCATGGTATCTTGCCTCAGTTCTGCATCCTTAGGTGGAAAGAGTTTGTCTTGCCCCTATAAGTTAAACCTGAATCATTCGAACCTGCAACTCTTGCCTGCAGCTGGGTCAGTTCTGCTCGGAAGCCGCGATTTATACACACGTCTCCACCATTTTCTCCAATTCAACTCTGCTAGGGGAGCCTTATATTTTTTTGTCAAAAAAAATGCGTGTATTTGTGTGTGTGTGTGTGTATCCTTTATTGTCCCTTTCCTTCTATTATATGTCTTCATATTATTCACGACACCCACAGAGAAGAAAATGACTAATAGGATTTGGGGTGCAAAAACCTGCCTTGAACTTTCGAGGTTCTGCCATTCTCCAGGGACTGGGTGCTAATTTTACCTTATGGTGGGATACAGGAAGCCTTGCCAGGATTACAATCAGGTTTTCTATAAATAAAACTCACTGATGACATTTACGTCTTCATTTTCTCTCTAGGGAGTGTTTCTAAATTGTTTAATTTAGAAGGTGTATGTTTGAAACCCTAAAGCTTTTAAAAATATTTTAAATTAATTCTCTGTAAATAAAACATTTCTAAATTACACTTAACCCCTTTATCTCATTCATTCTCCTCTCATCTGGAAGGTTTAGCCAATATTAGTAACTTTTATACTTGTTCACAGGCTCTAGCATTTCTCTTTTTAATAAGACCTTATCCATATACTCATAATTTTTAAAAACTGTAACTCATTCCTTTGTTTTTAATAAAACTCTGAGCACTCTATCTCTGCAGCTTTGAGATACCTGCTTAGTTTATAATCCAAGCTTGTCCCATAGTTGTTTGGTCTTGTACATATTGTCATTTAATATCTCAGCCCCCAAATCAGTATCTATACATGGAGAAGATAATACAACTTCAAAAGGAGAGTTGCTCTCAGGGCTAAGTGCCATGGCTGTGCTGTGAAAAGTTTGTATATTTTAACTCATGTTTCAATGTGAAAGACAAATAGCCATAGCCTCTTTCTCTTTTCCCTGCCCTTCCAAGCTTTAACAATATATCTCTTTCAAGGACAGTATGCAGGGCACTCACTGTTCAAAATACACTTTGTCACCCCCCAAACCGGTGTAACTGAGATCTGCTAACTAACTCCCTTTGATCTCAAGTATTTGTGTGAGTCGTTTTTGCCACCACTGCCCTGTTGGCCTCTTTGGTGTACTGGACTAATGTGCCTTCTGTGAGATGCATGAAGCCCCCGGGCCAACAAATAACAGGACCAATGGAAAGTATGAAAAATTACAGGTCAGATAGATATATCTAACAAACAAACACGTGTGGATAATGGAAACTGGGCACTCTTGTAACATATAGGGAGTAGTCTATGCTCTTGCTCTAGCATCCTTGTCACTTATCTTGCGGTGTAAATATTTATTTGATTGTTTGGTAGTGCGGTTCTTATTTAGTAATAAATATTTTGGCAGCATGAGCTAACAAAAAAAAAAGAATGTTTAATGAAAAAATTAAGTACTGAATTTATAATTCTTAAAGAACTTGATGAACATATTAGTCGAACAAAATATTTGTAGATACTTACCAAGAGGACTGCTGAGCACTTGAAAACCAGGGGGCAGAATGTGCTGATGAAACATCAGCGTTTTTTCAAAAGTTAATAGATTTTAGGAAGATTATGTCTAAAGATGACAATTTGACATGTGAAGCTGCTGGCTATGCATTTGCATATTACTCTGTGAAGCATCACTTTTCATTTAGATAAATGTCTGTTCCTCTAAACTAATTTCATTCATTTTCTGTTCCAAGTTTTCATATGAAAGTACAAAAAGTGAAGCAATTGCTGTTAATGCGTTGCCTTCATTAACAGCATCAGACCTTGAAAATAGCTAAATGATACTGGTTTTAAAACAATGCAGTAAAATTAAATATCAATTAAGTTTATTCAAATTGAATCAATATCTGTCTTCAAAACCATGGAATTGAAGTATAGCTCTTTGTGATCCATTCTGTTGAAGATGAAATATCTGACACCATAATAAATGCTATGATAAATTCAGTTTAAAATGTAAAAAAATTAAAGGAAAAGTGTTTGCTTTTAAAATTATATTTATTGAATTATTTTGAAATGATAAAATAAAATATACATTTGGGTGTAGCACAATGTCATGGCACAAATGATATTAGGAATCTCATGGGGGCCAGGTGCGGTAGCTCACACCTGTAATCCCAGCACTTTGGGAGGCCAAGGCAGGCGGATCACGAGGTCAGGAGATCGAGACCATCCTGGCTAACACACAGTGAAACCCCATCTCTAATAAAAATACAAAAAAATTAGCCAGGCATGGTGGCGGGTGCCTGTAGTCCCAGCTACTTGGGAGGCTGAGGCAGAAGAATGGCGTGAACCATGAGGTGGAGCTTGCAGTGAGCCGAGCTTGTGCCACTGCATTCCAGCCTGGGCGACAGGGTGAGACTCCATCTCAAAAAAAAAAAAAAGAAAAGAAAAGAAAAAAAAAATCTCATGGGGTAGAGCTCTTCTCAAAATTTATGTAGTGCACATTTAAGTTACACTTTAATCCAAACAAACTGTGATATTCTACCAATATAAACAGGAGAAAAGTACTTGGTGTGGAGAGAAAACAGTATTATGAAAATATTTAGTCTCAAACATTTATGCATTTCAATAGTAACTGCCCCTCCAACAGAATTGAGGATGTCTTCCATTTAGCAGAATGCGCTTTTGCATATCAGGTAATTTATCACCTATAGAGAGAAGATTTTTCTCAATTAAATATATTATGATCTGCAGAAAAGTTCCATGTAATATATCAAGAATTTTAAAAATGCATTCTTCAGAAAAATACAAGTGACGAGGCATTAGACACATATATATGTAAGAAACTGAGTAAAATATATGGCTTTGTATCCAGAATTATTATTGTGCTTGCTTGTGTTATTTTAAAATTTGCATAAGATCAATACTAAGATTTCAAATTTTTTTCTTTAATGTGTATGGCCATATGTTCAATTTTTGAAAGAATTTTATTTTTGAAAATGGCCTTTAAACAGAATGATTTTATAGGTCCACCGATATTATAAAACTGATTTGTCAGTTAATCTATAAATATTTCAAAAACTCTATAATTTTAGTTATTTTTTGTGCCTTTTTTTCCCTCTCAAAACTTTTCTAATTTGGATTACAAATTTTTACGGTCAGTCCTCATACACATGGAATACTCGGAAAATCAGTAAAATGTCATCAACACAAGCAGAAGAACAATCAACAAAACACAACTTAGTTTTCTAGCTGAACTCGGCTAAGGCTTTTTGCCTGTTCTTCGTGAGGAAAAACTAGACATTAACAACAATATTGCATTGTTATGGATTTAATCTTTGTGTCTCCGAAAAATTCATATGTTGAACACTTACCCCCTAATGTGATGGTATTTGGAAGCAGGGTCTTTGGGAGACAATTAGGTTTTAATGAGGTCATGAGAATGTGGACCCCATGAAGGAATTAGTGAGCTTATAAGAAGAGGAAGAGAGACCAGAGCTCTCTGCTTGAGGACACGGTAAAAAAGTAACCATCTGCAAGCCAGGAGGAAGGTTGTCACCAGGAGCCACATTTTCTGGCACCTTGGTCTTAGATTTCCCACCCTTTAGAACCATGAGAAATAATGTCAATCATTTAAGTCTCTCTGTCTGTGGTATTTTGTTGTATGAGCCCAAGCTGACTAAGACATCCATTTTATAATTAATTTAGTTGTTGTAATTGTTGTGTGTAATTAAACTTGTATAAGTAAATGCACATTATACTTATTCACAATGTAAGTGGAGTTCATGGTATGTATATGTGTATATGGTATAAAATATACCATGTATGTTTATTACATACCATGTTCCAGGCATTGTCCTAGGTACTGGGAAACAGCAGTGAGCAAGAGACAAAAATCTTCATTGAGTCTATGTTCTAGTGTATGCGTGAAGGGGTAGGGGGAGACAGACAGTTGCCAAAATGAGAGTAGGAGATTATAGAAACTCTAGTTAGTTATGGCAGTGAAGGTTTTTGGGCTCAAAGTGCAAGCCATATAATATCAGCATTCTTTTTAGAATGCTTCTGAACCTAGGTATACTCCTAACGGGGCAAGCAACCCGGTACATCGACTTATAGGTTTCCCTACGTTAATTTGAACAGATATTACCAACTTAAGTGTCTTCAATTTTATTGTCATACCAGGTCCTTAAATCTATTCCCGCTCTACCTATTTCCCAGATTTTATTAAATTATCTTGTGCAATTTAGATAGATATGCTTTTCCTCAGCTCAAAGCTACATGAGTATTTTTTTTCCAGAAAAGACTGACTGCTACTTATACTTTTTTTGTATACTTAAAGTATTTTGAAATATCTTCAGCTACACTGTGATAGGTTTAGGTGCCTCTTAGCTTCCTGTGTATAGTATGTCTTTATTCCTACATGAAAGCCTCTTGGCAGGTGGGTTAGCCAGTCCTCTGGCCTCAGTTCTGTTTAATAATATCTTTCAGACAGAATTCTCTCCTGATCCTATCTGCTAGTTTTTCTGAAACTCTTAACCTTTCACAATATGACCTTAACCACGTCTCCTTTAGTCACAATTTTATTCCTGGAGGAAATAAGCAATCTTCAGCCTTGAGCCTCTAAGTGAAATCGTCAACCAGACTTCCACCACCCTGTGGCTTGGCTGCCTGCCTGAATTGTTGTGACTTCTACAGCGACTCATTTGTCTCCTTTTTCTCCTTAACCCCAAAGGCTTCTTCCACTTGGTGCGTTCTTTTAGGCTATGATCATCCAGCAAGTCTTGCTGTATTCTGTGGCGTTAACAAGGTAGCCTTATTACAAACAGAGACCCAGAAGCGTTTAGAGATCTGCTTAAGTTTGGAAGGTTAATTGCTGGCAGAACCAGACCTGGAACTCTGGTCCCCTGACTCCCTGTTCCAAGCATTTTCTAATTCACGTACTGCCAAAACAAAGCAAAAGCAAACAAAAAACCCCCGCTGAATAAAATGCTTTTATGCGTGACACAGAAGAAGTGAACTGAATGTCAATATGTGCCTGAAGAAAGGTGGCCCATTTAGGCTGATGAAGCTGTGATGAAGGTCCCTAGTTGATGAACAATATATATTCATTGATTGATTGAAAATAATTGACTTCTTATTCCTTGAGATTTTCCCCAAACGAAAACTGCATGTTTAGTGCCTCCTTCTAAAGGTATCTGAATTTTTTTCAGTACTTAAAAGACTCAGAAGTATAACCTGTATTATTTTTCACTATTTTTAATTAATGTTAACTCATTATTAATGATTCTTTAAAAATGTCTACTCTGTATGAGTAAAATCATCTATAATACAAAATGCTTCAAAGTATGTTATAGCATTCCTGTTTTACAGATGAGGAAACTAAGGTTCAGAAAGTTAAATAATGTGCCAACAATCAGACAGAGCTTAAGGGTGAGAGCCAGGATCTGCCTCCTCAGGGCATGCCCTGAGCATGAGATCACCATAATGAAGACATCATGGGTTGTTTTTACCCATAAAGTATTAATTTTTAATGGCTTAACCACAAAAAAAGTATTCTCATAAAAAGGAGAACAGAAAGAAGTAATAAAAATGCAATTTTCCATTCCATTTGATTTATGAGAAACAATAAGGGGCTAGAGCAACTGAGCAAACATTCTAAAATTAGAATCCAGCTAGTATCAAATAATCAAACTCTAATCAGCAAAATCGTTTACATGACACTTATTATAATGTTGCTACTTTTTGTTGTCACAGGATTGCATCATTAACATTATTAGTAAACCTGCGCAATCAGTTAAAAATCACTCATTTCCTGAGAATCGCAGAATGTTGAATTTTTTTACGATTTCAGTAAAGTTATATTCTTGGAGTACAAGTACTTTTAAAATTATTTGTTCTTAATCAGAAGGTTATGTGATGTCTCTGATAATAATGTATCTATTTTAAATATTGAAAATTCCCTTTCATCAAATATAAAAAAACGCTTATTATGTTCTTGCCCCCAAATTGGTCAAAATGTACAGCAAATAATAAATCAGATTTGTTTTGATGTACTTCGTATTCTTGTTAAAAAGAAAAAGATTTCCAAACTCTATAGAAAATTATAAAAGCAAAATGAATTTACTGATTATTAATCAAATGGCGTGAATACTAACCTTTCTTCCTTGAAAAATAAAATGGGCACACAGTTTTGGTGAGTATAAAAAGCCTTTCGCAAGAAAAAACTATGCCAAAACATTATATCTGGTATTAATGCTGACTATAATTTCTGGCATCATAATGCCTAAATGTTTTAAAGAAGCTAACAAATAATTTGATGACCGTATATAAATTATATTATTTTATGCTAACTTTTGTTTATATATGGAATAGATTACCAGGCAGTAAAGTATTATTTCTAGTGCATATAAGTTTCAAATCTGTTAGTATAAGTTTCAAATCTGTTAGGTTTCAAGTCTACTTAAAATTAAAATGTTTCTCTGCTACTGAACTAAGCAATACTTAGTAATTTAATTATATTTTAAATATAGCAATTTTATCACATTTCTTTTTTTATTACACTGTAAGTTCTGGGGTACATGTGCAGAATGTGCAGGTTTGTTAACATTAGGTATTTCTCCTAATGCTATCCCTCCTCTAGCACCCCAACCCCGAACAAGCCCCTGTGTGTGATGTTCCCCACTTTGTGTCCATGTGTTCTCATTGTTTACTGCCGCTAATGAGGACATGCAGTGTTTGGCTTTCTGTTCTTGTGTTTGTTTGCTGAGAATGATGGTTTTCAGCGTCATCCATGTCCCTGCAAAGGACATGAACTCATCCTTTTTTATGGCTGCATAGTATTCCATGGTGTATCTGTGCCACATTTTCTTTATCCAGTCTATCAATCATTGATGGGCACTTGGGTTGGTTCCAAGTCTTTGCTATTGCGAACAGTGCCACATTGTCCAGCCTATCATTGATGGGCATTTGGGTTGGTTCCAAGTCTTTGCTGTTGTGAACAGTGCCACAATAAACATACATGTGCAGATGTCTTTATAGTAGAATGTGTTATAATGCTTTGGGTATATAAGCAGTAGTGGGATTGCTGGGTCAAATGGTATTTCTGGTTCTCGATCCTTGAGGAATCGCCACCCTGTCTTCCACAATGGTTGAATGAATTTACACTCCCATGAACAGTGTAAAAGCCCTCCAATCTCTCCACATCCTCTCTAGTATCTGTTGTTTCCTGACTTTTTAATGATGGCCATTCTAACTGGCATGAGATGGTATCTCAGTGTGGGTTTGATTTGTATTTCCCTAATGACCAGTGATGATGAGCTTTATTTCATATGTTTGTTGGCTGCATAAATGTCATCTTTTTAGAAATGTCTTTTCATATCCTTTGCCTACTTTTTGATGGGTTTTTTTTCTTGTAAATTTGTTTGAGTTCTTTCTTTGTAGATTCTGGATATTAGCCCTTTGTCGGATGGGTAGATCACAAAAATTTTCTCCCATTCTGTAGGTTGCCTGTTCACTCTGATGATAGTTTCTTTGGCTGTGCAGAAACTCTTTAGTTTAATTAGATCCCATTAGTCAATTTTGGCTTTTGTTGCCATTGCTTTTGGTGTTTTAGTCATGAAGTCTTTGCCCATGCTTATGTCCTGAATGGTATTGCTTAGGTTGTCTTCTAGGGTTTTCATGGTTTTAGGTCTAACATTTAAGTCTTTAATCTATCTTGAGTTAATTTTTGTATAAGGTGTAAGGAAGGGGTCCAGTTTTAGTTTTCTGCATATGGCTATCCAGTTTTCCCAACACTATTTATTACATATTGATTCCTTTCCACATTGCTTGTTTTTGTAAGGTTTGTCCAAGATCAGATGGTTGTAGATATGTGGTGTTATTTCTGGGGCCTCTCTTCTGTTCCATTGGTCTATGTATCTGTTTTGGTACCAGAACCATGATGTTTTGGTTACTGTAGCCTTGTAGTGTAGTTTGAAGTCCGAGAGCATGATGCCTCCAGCTTTGGTCTTTTTGCTTAGGATTGTCTTGGCTATATGGGCTCTTTTTTTGTTCATATGAAATTTAAAGTAGTTTTTTCTAATTCTGGGAAGAAAGTCAGTGGTAGCTTGATGGGGATAGCAATGAATCTATAAATTACTTTGGGGAGTATGGCCATTTTCACAATATTGATTCTTCCTATCCATGCACATGGAATGTTTTTCCATTTGTTTGTGTCCTCTCTGATTTCCTTGAGCAGTGGTTTGTAGTTCTCCTTGAGGTCCTTCACATCCCTTGTAAGTTGTATTCCTAGGTATTTTATTTCTTTGTAGAAATTGTCAATGGGACTTCACTGATGATTGGGCTATTATTTGTGTATAAGAATGCTTGTGATTTTTGCACATTGATTTTGTATCCTGAGACTTTGCTGAAGTTGCTTATCATCATAAGGAGATTTGGGGCTGAGAAGATGGGGTTTTCTAAATATATAATCTTGTCATCTGCAAACAGAGACAATTTGACTCATGTCTTCCTATTTTAATACCCTTTATTTCTTTCTCTTGCCTTACTGCCCTGGAGAGAGCTTCCAATACTATGTTGAGTAGGAATGGTGAGAGGGGGCACCCTTGTCTTATGCTGGTTTTCAAAGGGAATGCTTCCAGTTTGTGCCCATTCAGTATGATACTGGCTATGGGTTTGTCACAAATAGCTCTTATTATTTTGATATGTTCCATCAATGCCTAGTTTATTTAGAGTTTTTAGCATGAAGCGGTGTTGAATTTTGTCGAAGGCCTTTTCTGCATCTATTGAGATAATCATGTGGTTTTTATCATTGGTTCTGTTTATGTGATGGATTACGTTTATTGATTTGCATATGTTGAACCAGCCCTGCATCCCAGGGATGAAGCTGACTTGATCATGGTGGATAAGCTTTTTGATGTGCTGCTGGATTTGGTTTGCCAGTATTTTACTGAGGCTTTTCACATCGACGTTCATCAGGGATATCGGCCTGAAATTATCTTTTTTTGTTGTGCCTCTGCCTGGTTTTGGTATCAGGATGATGCTGGCCTCATAAAATGAGTTAGGGAAGAGTCCCTCTTTTTCTATTGTTTGGAATAGTTTCAGAAGGAATGGTACCAGCTCCTCTTTGTACCTCTGGTAGAATTTGGCTGTGAATCTGTCTGGTCCTGGGCTTTTTTTGGTTGGTAGGCTATTAATTTCAGAACTTGTTATCGGTCTATTCAGGGATTCAACTTCTTCCTGGTTTAGTCTTGGGAGGGTGTATGTGCCCAGAAATGTATCAATTTCTTATTTCTTCTAGATTTTCTAGCTTATTTGCCTAGAGGTATTTATAGATTCTCTGATGGTAGTTTGTGTTTCTGTGGGATCCGTGGTGATATCCCCTTTACCATTTTTTAGTGTGTCTATTTGATTCTTCTCTCTTTATCAGTCTGGCTAGTGGTCTCTCTAGTTTGTTAGTCTTTTTAAAAAACCAGCTCCTGGATTCACAGATTTTTTGAAGTTTTTCGTGTGTGTGTCTCTGTCTCCTTCAGTTCTGCTCTGACCTTAGTTATTTCTTGTCTTCTGCTAGCTTTTGAATTTGTTTGCTCTTGCTTCTCTTGTTCTTTTAATTGTGATATTAGGGTGTTGATTTTAGATCTTCCCTGCTTTCTTTTTATCACTTTTCTTAATATGCAAATTAGTTGAAGCAGTATTTTGTTTATTAAACCCTTATAATGGCATGTTGTTAGTACATAATGAAGTATAAACATTGAAAGAGGGAAAAAATCACATACAATTGCACATACTGAAAGAGGAAAACATATAGATTACGTTTTAGAAATAAGATTCACATGGTTGTAGTTTTATATCATGATAAGAGCAAATAGTTGCAAAATAAAAATATTTTAAGCAGATATTTAATATAGAATTTTGAAAATCCAGAACCCAGGAATAAATATGCTAAAATGGGCAGAATTCTATTTAAGGAAATTTTTCCAGTAGCATTACAGAAATTAAATAAATGTGAGATATACCATGTTAATGAATTGAAAAACTCAATCTTGTAAAAAAAAAAAATCCCAAGTCTCAACAGTGTTTTAGTATTGGTCATGTATATTTGCTTTGTTTTTGTGGAGCTTGATAAGCAAATTCTGAAAATTATATGAAAGTGCGAAAGTTGAAAAATTGTAAAGATTCACATAAAGAAAGAAGGTGGAAAACTTGCCTTACAGAATATGAAGACAACTATGATACAGTCTTATAAGAATGCAGAATTTAAATAAAATACTGACACCAATTGGCTTGCAAACACATGTTATAGAATGGATAGAAACACCAAACGAAGATCTGCATAGTTACAGATGCTTAAGACAGTGGTGATATTCCAGATCTATATAGATAAATAAAAAAAGCATGTGAAAAAAGGAAGAAATTTACCCCTATTTTGCATTATACTCAAAAATACATTCAGGTGAATTAAAGCTCTAAATACAAAAGTAAACATAAAATTTTTAAACATGATATTGGAGAATATCTTAATGACCTTGGAGTGGAGCAGAAAAATTTAAAAAGAGAGAAGGAAAGGAAAAGGGAGGAAAAAAACAAAAGTGGCAACCATTGAGGAAGACTAATTTTTTGAAAATCTGTATTAGAATTAGGAAATTTTGTTCTTCAAGTGCCAAGACAAACTCAGAAGAGAAAGATGAGTTGTTTGAACTACAAAGCTAAAAATGATCTATCTAGATTTACAGTCACACAAACAAACCAAAATCAAAACGAACAAAATGGATCAGGGTTACTGGAAATGGAGAGTTGTTGGTCAAAGGATACAAATTGCAGTTGTAAGATGCATAAGTTCTGGAGATCTAATGCACAGGATAGTGACTGTAATTAATAATAATGTATTGCATACTTGACATTTACTAACACAGTATTTGCGCTACACACACAAAATAACTTCAAGGTGATGCATATATAACATTTCATCTTGTATACATATATCAAAACTTCATGTTGTTTACTTTGAATATATACCATTTTGTTAACTATATCACAATAAAGCTGGGAAAAATGCGATAAAGTAGAAAAATTGGCAAATATCCTGACCAAGCTTTCCATAAACAAGAAACTTCAATAGAAGAAGTGTTCAACTTTATTAGTATTAGAGAAATGCAAATTTTTAAAAATACATTGTGTGATAGCCTTAATACAAATGCTCCAAATTAGGAAACATTTTAATAATCTGAAAATACCAAGTTATAATGGAACAAGGGGCAACCATACATGCTGGAAGGGTTATATATTTTCATGACCACTCCAGAGACAGTTTGGCATTATGTTCCAAGGATATGAATACCCAAGAATTTAGCTTTTCAACTTTTATGCAAATATACCACTAATCTGTTGTACATGTGCATACAACAATGTTCATAGCAGCACTGTTAGCACTAGCAAAAACTGAAAACCACCCACGTGTCCATCAACAATGAAATGATAAATTCATGACAGTGTATTCAGATAATGGAATACTATGCAACAATGAAAATTAATAAACTAAAGCTATATCTAACAATATAGGTGAATCACATAAACATACTGTTGAATGAAAGGAGTAAGACACAAAGGAGCACATACTGTGCAATTCTATTCACCTAAAGCTCAAAAACAGGCAAAACTAATATAGATGCTAAAACTACAGGAAAAGTCAATGAATAATCATCACCAAAGTCAGACTGGTATTGCATAGATTTGTCTTGTGAAAAAAAAAAGTTAAAATGGTGTGTAGGGTTGTGATCATGGTGGGCCATAAAAAAAGTGTAGGTTTTAAAATGTTGCCAATGTTCTAGCTCCTCACCTTCATAATGATTACATAGGTGTTCCCTTCATTATTTCTGCACTCTTCTTGGATATAATGTTAAATTTGTACTTATTTTTAAAATATCTACCATACACCAAAACTGCTCTATTACTGCTAAGTCACCTAGGTTGTGGATTTCTCAGAACGAATATGGATGGCTGTTTATACTTCTGCTGTTGAGCTTTAAAAAAAAATGATCATTGCAATTACATTGAAGAGATGTAGATCAATTTGACTCCAGAGCTTGTATTTAGAGTTTCTTTCATGTGTATGTTCTAATCACACCTCAGAACCCTAAGAAATAGACATTATAGAACAGTAGAGGTGAATATTTCATGCATTGGTTTAAAGAACACCAACATGTTAGAAATTTAGAAGAAATGTGGGTGACAAAGGTCGTTAGGTTCTCCTTCTAAAGATAACAAGGTGACAATAGAGCACATGCCAGATATTACTTATGCCAGTGAACTTGCTGAATATTTGCAGCATTTCCTCTGAGGTTCAAAAGACCTCCAAAATAGACATAATCTAGAGTGATTGATAGGCAGTTCCCATGGGCCACTATTTCTTCAGGCAGTGTTTTTTTAAGTACTGTGAAGTGCACTCACTTTATCACAACATGTATATTTCTTTTCATATATATACTTTAAGTTCTGGGGATACATAGGCAGAACGTGCAGGTTTGTTACATAGGTATACACGTGCCATGGTGGTTTGCTGCACCCATCATCTACATTAGGTATTTCTCCTAATGCTATTCCCTCCCCTAGCCCCTCACCCACCAACAGGCCCTAGTATGTGATGTTCCCCTCTCTGTGTCCATGTGTTCTCATTGTTCACCTCCCACTTATGACTGACAACATGCGGTGTTTGGTTTTCTGTTTCTGTGTTTGTTTGCTGAGAATGATGGTTTCCAGCATCATCCATGTCCCTGCAAAGAACATGAATTCAACTTTTTTATGGCTGCATAGTATTCCATGGAGTGGATTTGCCACATTTTCGTTATCCAGTCTCTCATTGATGGGCATTTGGGTTGGTGCCAAGTCTTTGCTATTGTGAATAGTGCTGCAATAAACATATGTATGCATGTGTCTTTATAGCAGAATGATTTATAATCCGTTGGGTATATACCCAGTAATGGGATTGCTCGGACAAATCACAACATGTATATTTGTAACAGATGAAGAAAGATGATTGTTTATGATTCCCAGTAGAAATGTAGTTTCATCAAGAGAGAAGAGAGTGAAAGAGTGAGAAACAGAGATACTAAATTTAGGAAATTCATTGAACAGAAACTCCACTTTGGACTGGAAATACATTTCTCCAAAATCACAAAAGAGTTACTTTGTGCACACTCAAGTTACTTCTACTTATGGGGAAAAGTCAACTATACATTCATAAATGATTAACACTTATGGGATAATAATGACAACTAACATGCACCGTATGCCAGGAATCATGCTGCGCACTTAATATTCATTACTTCATTCAATCTTTCCATCACTCCTATGTGGTGGAGAACACTATCTGCAGTGCCACTAACGAGCAACGTTTGATCTCCCTAATATGTAACTAAGATACAAAGTAGTTAAGAGACTTAAGTTGTATAACCACAAGGTCACATAACTAGATCTGGATATACCATTATAGGGATCCAGATCAGTATGACTCCAGAGCTTGTATTCTTAAGAGTTTTCAGAATATCTTCCATGTATATGTTCCAGTCATACCTCACAACAGACATTACAGAACAGTAGAGCTGAATATTTCATGCAATTGTGTAAAGAACACCAATTCTAAAAATTATCATTAGGTATCCCATTCATTTTTTTTAATTGTCAAGTAAGATTAGATAATAAACCAATACAATTTTCTTTACTGAAGTTTTTCATGATTGGGCTGTGACTCTTCACAAGAGAGCTGTATAGCTAGTGGTATTATCTAAACTGATGAATTGTGGGGTCCCCTTGAAGAAGGCCCAAGCCCCAATAGAGATGAAAATGTTCTAAATGAGGCTGTAGAGAATCAGACAATTGAAGGACATTTCTAGCAGACTGACTTGGTAAATATTATAGTTAATACCTGCAGATTGACATTGCATTCTATTAATGTTCAGTAAAACGGTTATATATCATAGTTCATTCAAATATATTTTACTCTTTGCAATTTGTAGAGTATACTGAAAGATATTTTCATGGATGATGTTCAATATTCTTACTAGTAAATGCATATTGTAAGTAACTTTACAGAGAGAATGTCTAATCAGAGACTAAACTGACTTCACATAGACAGTAGGAAGAAGTCCATGAAGTGGATTTGAGTCCTCTCCTTGCTATGTAGTTTATTTTTTCATTTACAAAATGAATAATACTTATATCAAAAAAGCAATGATGTAAATAAAATTTTTATGCTAGACATACATATGACAGAAGGTGGTTATTAATTTTAGTAAAAGCAGAGGTCAGAGGTCTGTGCTTTTTTAGACTAGTAATTGATATCTCCTCTCAAGGATAGCCCTGGAGCTTCCTACACACACACACACACACACACACACACACACACACACACACAAAACAAAAAACAAAAAACAAAAAACACACCTAAGCATTGACTGGTCTTGGAACTGCTCAAATTCCCTTGACTTCCTAATTTACTCAAATAAGTCATCTTCTCTAATGGAACTTTAAAATTGAGAGTGGTTCACTATGCTATGGAGGAGTGAGGCCAGCAGGAGACAGCCATTCATTCGTCCAAGTGGGTGAATAGGGAAGAGTCTGGGCTCAGGATCCAGACTCCTTGGACTCTCATTCTGGCTGCCTCACCTACTCCCTGCTCTTTGTTCTCATCTGCAACATCCAGACAGTGAAAGTACCAACGCAGAAGGTTGTCATGAGCATTAAATGAACTAACCGCGATAAAGAACTTAGAATAATGCCTGACACATATTAACACCATAAATGTTAATGATTCTAGTTCTTCCATGCCCAATCAATGATAATGCAGCCACTTTCATTATCCTCTATGCTAATTATACTTTATTCTATTCACTAAACAGAACTAACTAGCAATGTTTTGTTAGCCTAATACTAGTTATTGTATTTGAGAATAACAAATTATTATTTTATTATAAATTATTCATAATTTGAAATGTTTACAAACAGAAACTAGCTGGCTTCATGAATGAAGGCGTACTGATTTTTTAATTTTTGAAAATTAACATCCATTGATTTTGATACAATTCCTCCAAGATATTGTCTAGTATTAGGCATCTGCTTAAGCTATTGCTTTTCTCACCTTGTTAGATATAACTCATTCACACAACTAGATCAGGCTTATCACTACCCCATAAAAAGGATAATTACAATCAGGAACATCAAAAATGTGGCAGAAACAAACGAGAGAACTGAAGAGTTGAAACTTGATATTTCATCTCTTGTTTGCTAATGGTGCAAATGCTTTTTCCCTCTTCATATTAATAGTAATGAGATCTTTGAATATAATGTATATTTCTTGGTAACTGCCTTTTTTCCCCAGTTGCTAAGTAATATTTCACCTTTCATCAGAAGAGAAAGATAGATGGTACTTAACCTGCTTTGCAAGTCAGAGTACCAGATAACTCAATTCATTTCTGGAATGCCAAATGAGGTTTTTATTCTCACTAGAGGAAGCCAAGGGAGTGTAAATATGACTCTAGTTCATTATTGCCTTTGTGCCTCCTACAGCCTTAGAAATGTGTTAGAGTATATTAAGTTTTAAAACAACATTATTTTTAGAGTACTTGGCAAAAATTATCTTTCAAAATCTCTGTACTAAATTTCATTTCGACAAATTAAAAACAAAAAAATTGATATTTAGCTTATTTAGACATGACCTTTGTTAACATTCATTTGGAGAATCTTAAATTAAGATTGAGACATAATAGCTAATAAAAATAAGGAGTCAGGTTACAACCTGAGTCTCATTATAAAAATTATTACACTTATAATTGTTTATATTATATACATATTTAAACTTGTTTATGTTTTTTTCTGTTTTGTTTTACATTATGCCACTCAGTACAGAGCATTCTCACTGTAATGTTAGTGGTCTAATGAATGTTTTGTATATCAGAGCAATATATTTACATGATACAGCTGATCTGGATATGTACAGATGGATATGAAAATATTTCTTGAAGGAATAATTCCCTTGGATGTCATACTACTAATACTTATCAAGCAACTATTTTCTGGAAGTCAATAAATACAGTATACAACTTCCTACATTATTGCTTTGGAGTTTACTGTGAATACCAGAGGTCCTGAAATCAATCAATCAGTTGTCTGACCTACTGCCTACCACACACTTCTTGTTTCTGCTGACCTTGTTTATTTGCTCAACTTAATGTGCTTACCTTCTAACCAAATAATCTCTTCTCCAGCCCACTGATTATTTCATTTCCTCTGATTTAGTTTTCTCTGTTTTGAATAGTTTACCTCATTAGGACCTTCCATTATCCCTAAGGATATTTCTGAGTGAAAACAATCAAAATCATTGCTGTTACTCCTATGTACCAGACACTTTAAAAAGGACTTCATATGTTTTATATCATTTAGTCCCCAAATACACACATGAGTTATTATTATTCTTATTTTACAAATGAAAGAATTGAGGCTTAGAGAAGTTGCATAACTCACCCAAGGTCAAAATCCTATCTGACTCAAGTCTACACTCCTAACCACAAAGGTGAGTTTGAAAGATTCTTTAAAAACTAGGACTAGCCTACTACTGTTAACCTACCCTTGTAAACTGCTAATGTTATTACTGTGAACATTCATAGATCCTTATTGAATTTTAAATCAAAAGCTTGAGAGACTAAGTTTTCATGATTCTCTATGTCCATCATTTGGCATTGACGATATGGACAATCAAAGGCAAAAAAATCTACTTCTGATAACAGGAGAATAAATAGAAGGAGATGACAAAGTGTATAGTTAATAATGTATACTTTTAATGTGGTTCTGTATTTCTTAGTCCTTTGAATTTTATTTAGCCTTTCAATTATTATTTGCTGGATTTCTGCTTTAAATTAAAATACAATCTTATTAAAAGAGATAGCTATATCTTTCTTATTCTATATACCAATCCTCATATTACATTAGGCTCATGAATAAATAGCAAATCAAATGGAAAAATTCATATTTTAGTTATACCTAGGTGAATTAGAAAAAAATGGAGGACACAGCAAAAGTGAACAACTAAAGAGAAGTCCCAAAATACATACTAAAAATATAATTTTGTTCTGTTCTCATTCTCCATCGTTTATACCATAAATTATAACACTAGTACTATAGTTGTATTTCAATAACAGAAAAGACATGGAATAAAAATGATAAAACTGCTTTAAAAATAAAATAACTTGGTAATTTAGTAACAGATGACTAATATGATTTTTGTAGACATATCAGAAAACCAGCATGTAATATTGGTGAGAGTATGGAAATTAGCCAGAAGATTCTGTTTGGGTTTTTGAATATTTTAGTTACTTGCTTGCACAAGTTGCATAACTTTTCTTACTAATTTGTAAAAGAGATTGATAATCCCTGACCTATGACACTTTTTAAAAATCAAGGGAGATATTACACATAAAAGTCATAAAACCATAAAATATTGTATAAATGTATATTTTTTACTTATTTTTTAAGCAGTCCACAGTCAATCTCAGGTTCTAGTTGATAGGTTTCAGCTAAGGAGTTGTCTGTTGAAAGCCGGAGTGCATCAAAGTGAATGGGAGGTTGGGTAAAGGAAGAGGAGATGAGGGTCAGGACTAGATGGGTGGCAGCAAAAATAAAAAATTAAAGAGGCAATTTTGGAAACATTATGAAAGAATAGGAGACTCAGATTCTCATCTACTACAAATGAATAATTATTAATCTTGTAAATAATATGGTTGAAGGACAATAAAATAAAGAGTACATAGATCTTGGTGCCCCTCCTGCTTTCACTGTACTCCAGTGGGAAGTATCAGATCCTGTGTAACTTGGCCCTCTCCTCTGTTATCAGTGTTTCTCACATAGCAGGTGCTCAATAAGTATTTACTGAGCAAAGAAATGAATAAATTAATGAATAGGTCACAGGGTTATTGTGTCAAATAAGATAATGTATTGAAAAGTGACTAATGTATCAAAAGAGCTCTGTTAATTGTAAATAATGACATATAGGAAAATGTTATTACTAACTTACAGGAAGTATTTTTAGGTTTCTTAGTAAGAAAGTTCCAATAAAGCTCTTCAAAAATTAATTGGGTTACCTTCAAAATAGTGAATTCCCTATCTCTGAAAGTTTAAACATAGAAGTTGAATCATCTTCCATCACATAACCAAAATAATTACTACTGAGAGCGGGAGAGTGAATGAATAAGGTCTCATGCAATTTTAAGATTCTACAGTGCCATTAGGAATGATACCTAATGTTTATTTGATGCTTGTTTGGTGTTTGTTAGGCACAGTGCTGATCGCCTTGCATTCTATTTTGTTAACCCCTAAAGCAATCCTTGAGATAAATATTATTATTACATACAGAAAAATGGGGGCTCTGACAAGTTAAAGAACTTGCCTGCATCATAAGCTAGGACATAACTAAGGAAGGATTTTAAGCCATATTTATCTAACTCCTGAGCTTTCAGTTTAAAGTGTGTATCACTATGATACTCTGTCTCATAAAAGAGTAGTTTTCTCTGTTCCAGTTTACCTTCTAAATGATTGGTGTTGGCTGCTTGATGATTCAAGTCTCTGTTACCAGAAGCAAATCAAAAGTACCATTTCTGATTTCATGAATCCCTTTAACTACCAAATGGTACGTGATGCATGGAAAGAAGCAAATAACTATAATATGATTTTTTGGAGTGAAAAATACATTTTTAATAAGGTGTCATTGATACTTAATATTCCAGAAGCAGTGCTCAAGATTTTGAACCAATTAGAGATTTGGGCTTCATCTGACCAGACATTATTACAAATTTTACAATAATAGTTTAGTAGATGATTACTGCCCCCGGCATATGAAAATGTTCCATGTAAACATCTCATTACCAAGACTAAATATTAAAGAAATGTATTCCTCTAAAAGGCCCTTTGTGTTTCAGAATATGGAAATAATTCTTCTGTTCATTTCATATTATTCAAGGTAAGTGTTGGCATCCTAACTGTATATGGCCTCCAAATAAGGAGTTAATACTAATGTATTCTATTACTCCTTAGCTCATGGTAATCATGCCAAGAACACTTTTTAAAATTAACCCCATGCTCTCTCATGGGTTCATTTAAGAAGAAATGTTATAAGAATTCTTTGGAATTAGTGAAAAACAATTTTGTCCTCCTACCATTAAGTCTGTCTTCATATCTAAAGCAGAATAGGCACAAAGGAAAGTAGTTACTAGCTTTGTGTTAATGACTTTTAATTTGTGTACACTTAACAGTATCTTGAAAAATTGTCTTACCTGGTGGATTCTCTGTTTGGTCAGATATCTAAATTAAAAAGGCCTTTCTCTATGAGTTTCTTGGATCAGTTATCTTAGTTTTAGAGTCATATGGTGTGAAGGACTAAAAGATACATTAGAAATCAACTAGAATAATTTCCTCATTTTATAGGTGAAAGAAATTGCCTGTAAGTGAAATGACTTACTTAATGACACACAGAAAAATGGGGCAGAAGAAGACTTAGACCCCAAGTGTCTTATTTCCTAGTTTTTATCCTATGCATGATTCATGGAGGAATTCCTGATTGTGCTACAATATAAAATCATGTCATTTCCAACCCTTTTAAAGTGGCATTTCCTGCCACAACTTCCAAACCCCGCCCCCAAATTCCAATTAAAACAGTACACTGAGTTTAATATTCATCAAAAACAAACAAAAAAAAATTAAAGTAACAATGTATTTAATCTTTTATTCTTTCAGAGAGTGATTAAGACATATACTGTGTGTAAGATACTGTGTGTAAGAGACCGTAGCTTCTGCTTAAAAACATTATTTAAGCTTAATTTCAATAGCAACAGAGAAAATTGGAGATGACTGATAAATACATTTAAAGCAGGCAAAATTTGAGATGTTTTCTTAAACATTCATTTCTGTATTAATGTATTCACTTAACAAATACCTAGCACTTTATCTGGGTCAATCCTCATGTTAGACACGAGAGATACAATGATAAACACAAATAGGCCTGGAACTGCCTATTTGAGCTTTTAATATAATGGAGAAGCTTATCTCAAATAAGTATCACACTAATTAATGAGTAATAAATTAGGTTAAGTAAATTAACTGCTTTTCTGAAGGAAAGAGGTGTGATCCTATGCATATGTGTAACAAAAGAAACAGACCTAGATTAGGACTGAGGTAGTCAAGGAGAACTTCTGGAAGGAGGTGACACTTAAACTGAGAACTGACTGAAGAATGGGTGTCAGCTAGCCAAAAGATAGATGGCAGTAGTGGAGTGAAGGAGCTAGAAGTGATTAAACTTGTTGAAGAAGGCATGTCAAATGCCAAGACAGGCCAAAAGCTAGGCCTCTTGTGGCAGACAGTTAGCCAAGCTGTGAATGCAACGGAAAAGTCCTGGACAGAATTTACAAGTGCATCTCCATTGAATACACAAATGATAAGAGTGCACAACAGTCTTTGCTGCTATGGAGAAAATTCTGGTGGTCTAGGTAGATCAAGCCAACCACAACATTCCCTTAAACTAAATCCTACTCTAGAGCAGAGCCTTAATCCTCTTCAATTCTATAAAGTTTGACAGAGGTGAGGAAGCTGTAGAAAAAAAAATTTTGAACCTTGAAGAGGTTGGTTCATGAGGTTGAAGAAAATAAATCATCTCCATAACATAAAATCACAAGGTGAGCCAGCAAGTGCTGACGTAGAAGCTGCAGCAAGTTACCCAGAAGATATAACTAAGGGCATTGATGAAAGTGGCTACACTAAACAGTAGATTTTCAATGTAGACAAAACAGCCTTATTTTGGAAGAGGATGCCGTCTACGACTTCCAAAGCTAGAGAAGAGAAGTGAATGCCTGGCTTCAAAGCTGATTCTCTTGTTAGGGGCTAATGTAACTGGTGATTCTAAGTTGAAGCCAATATTCATTTAATACTCCAAAAATTGTAGGGCTCTTGAGAATTATGCTAAATCTACTCTGCCTATGCTCTATAAATGATACAACAAAGACTGGATAACACAACATCTATTTACAGCTTGCTTTACTGAATATTTTAAGCCCACTGTTGAGAAATACTGCTCAGAATAAGATTCCTTTCAAAATGTTACCACTCATTGACAATGCACCTGGTCATCTCAGAGCCCTGTTGGAAATGGACAAAGAAATTAATGTGTTTTTCATGTCTGCTAACACAACATTAATTCTGCAGCCCTTGGATGAAGGAGTAATTTAATTTTCAAGTCTTATTATTTAAGAATTACATTTTGTAAGGCTTAAGCTAACATAGATAGTAATTCCTCTGATGGATCTGGGCAAAGTAAATTAAAAACGTTCTGGAAAATGTTTACCATTGTAGATGCCATTAAGAACATTCATAGTTCATGGCAGGAGGTCAGAATATCAACATTAACAGGAGTTGGAAGAATTTGATTCCAACCCTTAGGGATGACTCTGAGGAGTTCAAGACTTCAGTAGAGGAAGTTACTGCAGATGTGTTAGGAAAGAGCAAGAGTAGTATTGGAATTGGAGACTGATGGTGTGACTGAATTCCTGCAATCTCATGATAAAAGTTGAAGGGATGAGGAGTTGTCCCTTATGGATGAATAAAGAAAGTGGTTTCTTGAGATGGAATCTATTCCTGGTGAAGATGCTATGAACACTGATAAAGAAAGAAAGGATTTAGGATATCACATCAACTTTGTTGATAAAACTGTGGCAGGGTTTGAAGAGGGTTGACTCCTATTTTTGAGAGAAGCTCTGTTGGGTGAAGTATGAACCAACAGCATTGCATGCTACAGAGAAATCTTTCATGAAAGGAAGAGTCCATTGATGCAGCAAACTGTATCGTTGTCTTATTTTAAGTAATTGCCACCAGTTACTTAAACTGTGACTGGACAAGCCATTTAATATTTCTGAATAATCTGAGTATTTGCCACTAGTCAGTTAAGCCACCACAGCCTTCAACAGCCATCACCCTGATAAGTCAGCAGCCATCTACGGTGAAGACCCTTCACCAGCGAAAAGATTAGAACTGGCTGAAGGCTCAGATTACGGTTAGCGTTTTATAGCAATAAATTATTTTAAATTAAGATATGTGCATTGTTTCTTAGACAAAATGCTATTGTACACTTAACCACAGTATAGTATAACAATAACTTTTGTATGCATTGGAAAACAAGACATTTTTGTGACTTGCTTTATTAAGATACTGATTTTATTGAGGTGGTTTGCAACTAAATCCGCAATAGTTCTAAGGTGTGCTAGAACTTTTCTTCCATAGTAGCTGAGATTTAAGTTGTCTAGTTAGTATGACTAAGTTTTTCCATTAATACAAATGTCTATGCTCATATCTTCATTGACTATGCTCATTCACACCGGCCTTCTCTCTGTCCCTAGGCTAAAACTTATTCTAGTCTCATGACCTTTTTACCTGTTATTTATTCCCTCCAACAAGAATATTTTCCTCCCAGATTCTGTGTAGGTATTTCTTATCCTTGAGGTCTTAGCTTACTGTTACTGTATGAAAATACTTCCCCCAACTTTTCTAGATAAAAGAACACACCACAGTTCCTGACCCATGGAAGGCACTCCACAAATAGTAGCTAATATGTTTAATGTTAAATAATAATAATTGAACGCCTTCTATTAGTCCTTGCACAGTAATAGCCACTTTTAACATTTCTAATTCTCACCATACAAATATTACCATCTCTCATTTTGCAAATAGATTATTCAGACAGATTAAATGGCATGCCCAAAAGCTTGTGACAGTCTGTCTAAATATAAAATCTGTGTATGATTTTGTTTGCACTATGTCAATTTTCATTACAAGAAATAAAATGCACAAATGATGCAGTTATTTTGGGCTTAACACTTCATAAGATAGTCAGGCTATTATGATTTTAGATTGGGTTATCCAAACAATACTATCATATTTCTCCAAAACCTTTCTATTTATGGCACTGGCTAAGCCCTACACTCAACCAACATTTTAACTTATTCTTGATTTCCTCATATACTCTAGTCAACAATGACTTAAAATTCTTTTTGTACTTACAGTTATCCCCTACCACAGAAATTAGCTCTTGAGTGTTGTCAGTAAGCAGGTTGTTTCACATAAGTGAAAAAGGGATCAGTGATTATCTCAAACGCACTGAGCATGTTTTATATTCTTGCGTGTCATCCATAGACAAGGACAGTTCCATGCTGTCTATGGTGGAGTACAAATTGGAAGTCAGAAATGGCATCTTTTCTTTGCTCTGAGACTGATCTTGATGAGAAAGAAACTTAAACTTCAAGGCAACTTCAGAGAAAGGAAAAAAAAAGAATACACTGATTCTCTGATGCTTACTGTTAACTTTAAGATAGAAAAGAAATTATAGAAGGTATCCTGAAACAAAAACAAAAAAAAAACTTTTTATTTATGGGTAAATAGGTGAAATGTGCTAGAAATCTTGCCCACACTCTTCTTTTTATACATGAGGGGGATGAGGCAGGGAATTAAAGGGAGGTCAATTACACATGAGATTACAAGTGATGTTATTGTACTGACTGCCACTGTATTTTACAATGCCACACATAAAAGTTGATTGATGTTGATTTGACTCTGTTCAAAAAAATAACTTGAGCTAAATTGTGGAAGAGCTGTGAATGAATTGAAACAATAAATAAAATGAGTTCTTTTAATATTAAAAAGCTTAGCCACGGTCAAGCTTTCTAATTAGGTCAGCATAATTTAAAATGGACTAAGAACCATCCCAGGTGGGGATATCAAATATTTATAATCTTGCCCCGGATGCTATCTCTGTGACCTTAGTGGTTTCAGAAGAGCACTTAATGTACCCCTAGTTCCTATGAGATTTAGATATTTATGCAGACAACAGATTAAAAAGAACACGCAAAAATCTCACACAAATTCAAGAAATAATGAAGGTTACAATTCTTTACGAATATTTGTCCTTTTCCTTTTTAGTCAGCATTAAGAAATACTGTCAGGCTTCATGTCCAAGTTAATGTGAAATGACAGATTATTCAGTTCAGAGCACTGTGAAGAGCTACAGGGTAAATGATTCAATGCCACCTCAACTATGTGTTTTTACTGAAAAAGTTATCAGTTTTGAACTATATCCAATTCTACAGCATATTTCAGTGTAGGAACATCTCAGTGGAAACGTTTAGAACCCAGTGCAAAGTCACTCTGAAAGCATTTACTTAGCTTTATTGTGTTTGGTTTTAATTTCTCTCTCTTTGTGAGATCAATTTCTCATTAGTGCAAAGCCGAATACTTCCAGGGGAAAACGAAGGAATGTATTTAGTTGAGACAGGTTTTTACCAAACTATTCGAAAAGCTAAAAGAAAAAAAAACCTCTAATATATAGTAGAAAAAAATGTTATAAATACGTTGGTTTATATCTAGCTATAAATAGTGTTTTTTCAAAGTATGGTTCAAAGGAGAAACAACCATTAAGTTTTCAGTAGCTTTGTACTGTCAAGGAAAAACCAGCTTATTCATGTTAATACACATACTGTAGTACCATATGTACCTAAAACAGTGAAAAATCATAAAAAATATTTTAGCAGTGGAAATAAAGACAGTAATTGCAATCCAGTCAAATGAAGTTAATTCAAAATGCAAACGCAGTTTGCATTAAAACTAATAATATTAAAACAAATACTATTAAAACTAATAGTAGTTACTGTCTCTATCTGTAACTTTCACTCCCTGCCACCCAACTGTAGTTAGATAGCCAGAGATCTCATCATGAACCTTCATGGGGAAAAAAAAAATGTGGTCTGATAAATTAATTACATTAAAAAAAGTGATTAATCAAATACCCTGATGAGGAAATGGAGAACATATTAACTACCATTTGTTGACTACTTATTGTGTTATTATGATACTCATTTCCTTCCTCAAGTAAATTTCAGTCTAGGGAAAACATTTACAACAGAATATGCTGAGTGCTGGGATACTGAGGAGTAGACTAGAAGTATAAGAGGACAGAGGAAGAGTAATGATGTGTGGGTGAAAAGATAATAACTAGGAATCTGGGAACATTGCCTAGGTGTAATTTGAGTATCAGCAAAACAATAAAAATTAGAGAATGATAAGTAATGTATTAGATATGAGACTTGGAAGCAGGAAAAGTCTTACAGAAGTGAAGGAAGGCTATTTGCAAAAACTCAAGATCATGACAAAACAGACTCTTCAGAGACCAAGTAGTGCATTACGAATGGAAAATAGGATGGATATAGATGTAAAAAAGCAGCTGGGATTTTGAGATGGAATCAGAAAGGCAGAAAGAGGTTATGATTATGAGGAATATCCTATGTCATGCTAAGAAGTTTGGGTTTTATCCTGAATGCAGTGGGGAGCATTAAGTCAGTTAGTGACATCAACCTATGTCACACTGTGAAGGCATCAAGACCAATGTGTTGAAATGGGGAGTGGCCTGATACCAAAGGCAAAGGTAGCAGAATTGCAGTAACATAGATGAATCCTGATGAGAGTCTCAAATAAGGTAGGGGAGGTCAGATAAAGCAGTAATAACATAATTAAGCCTAAGGTGGGAACAAAGCTACATTAGGCACCCAGTATACTGAAGAAACACCTAAAATTCTGGAAATCAGACAGCTCCTCCAGAGCCTTGCTAGCTGCACCAGCTCTGCTTATCCAAATCCTTATCAGCATAGCATTGCCTTCCCCATTATGCCACCTTCCATTCCTCACCCCTTTACATATGAGAATATTAAAGAGAAGGGAAGACATTTTTTGCACACTTTAGCGTAGTGGGGGTTGCTAGGCTTTTTCTTAACCTAACCTTCCTACCTCCAAATTCAAGGAAGAGGGAAGGCTCCTAGCACTCATCCCCAGAAATTATAAAACCAGTATTTTATTTCTTGTTTGAGAGTTTGCCTAGGCAACAGACTTGCCGATTAGCTCTTGGCCCTGTTTGGACAGGAAGAGAAAAGAAGTAGAGAGAGATGACAAGACAGAGCAGTGGCAGGAAAGAAACCTACACCTCCACCGTTTAGAAAGGCAAGAGTATGCAAGTTTCCCGTGGGTTGGATGGATGGACTTTGGAGAAGGTAGGCCAGCATGAACTTTCTAGGCTCCATGAGCAAAATGGTAGAGGTGGTAGTTGAAAGAAGTTTAGAAAAGACAGTGCCAGAGGAGTCGTCTAAGTCAGGGAACTCTGCAGTAAGGAGGTTCCACAGACATCACAGGTGTGCTTACAAGAGCGAGCCTTTGGAGGCCTGCCTCAGTCACAGATGGTTCTGTGGACAACCAGCTTCACCCAGAGTGGCAGCTATGTCCCAGAAGGGACCACAACAGAAGTTACATAAGTAAGACGCTGGTCCCTTGCCTGCTCATTCTGTCCTACTTTGATACACAGAGAAGGAAAGGAACCTGGAAGCAGGAGGAGAACAAATGTGAAAAGAGACTTTCCTCCTCACAGCTGCAGGGTCCTGGGTCCCACTCTATTGTCAATACTGAACTAGAGAAGAGAAAGAGAAGAGCAATAAATCAGAGCTAAGCTTTACCTTTATAACAACTGAAAGTTATCAAAAAGCTATGGGACCTTCCTGGATGTCCAAAAGGGATAGAAAAATGGATTTGACAGCATAGTTAAAGGCAACGGTTAGAAGGAGTAAAACCACTTCATCTTTGTTACCCACTGCATTTAGACTCTCCAGTAAGTCAGAAACAAGGATATGGATATCAGAGATACGTAAAACGTGGAATAGATCCAACTTCACCTATTTGTTATAAGAGAAAAAGGAAAGTAAATTAAAACTTTTGAGTTAGTAGCCTGAATTATGTTCTGAGCTTTAAAAAAGAAATACTCTAGGCTTTCCTTCTCTGGGCATAGTAATCGCACCTATAAAATAAACAATTGTATGATAGTTCTTAACCTTGTTTTCATCACAGAGTCCCTTGAGAATCTAAGGGCAACTATATACTGTCTCCACAAAAATAGGTACATGCACACATGGAAGTTTCCACACAAAATCCTATAAAATGGAAAACATTGAAATGAGAAGCCAATTTGAGCAAAAAGATTGAGTGTAGCTCTATATATATTAAGCCTGATATGCCTGTGACGAATACCTTGTAGAGACAGCCTTCAGAAAGAAGACAAGTCTGTTTCTCCATTTTGTTTTTTGTTTGTTTGTTTTAATCTCAAGCACCTTCTGATATCCAGCTGACAAAAAGGCGGCCCCCTTCTTATTCTTCCATTAGAGCCTGGAGGTTCTGAAATTATTCGGTCGCTTAGCACACAAGTCTCTGCAGTTTCTTCATGATTCTTGCAGTGATGCTGAGCCCCAGGGGTGGTGGCTCATTAATTAAAGTAAATTCTGCACTTAGGCTTTCTTCCTCACTTTCCAAGTGCTGTCATCCTTGTCTCTCTGGGTCACCTCACTTCTTCCTTCCAGCTAAACTTTATCTAGAAGAAAGACCATGGTGACAGCACAGCCTTTCTTGAGTGTGTATTGCCCTTAGCTGTTAAAAAATTTTACTGATCACGTTAAAGAGTATGAATTTCTTTCATTTCCATCATCTGTAGGAAACACGTGTCTTATCTTGTTACCCTTGAGTTTCCTCTTCTGTCAGCCTGGATTGTAGGTCAGAGCTGCTACTAAGCATGTGATCTTATGCAAAGCTTTCTTTTGATATTTACTTCAGGTCAGTGTGCAGTGGCTGAAAATTCAGTACAAATTTGGGAATCCAGCAGGTCTACTTTTAAAATCCTCAGGTTTGTCAGCCCGGTGTGCTTCATTTTCTTCCTTTTCCTGTATTAAATGAGTGTAATAATATATGCTAGGTCTTTGTAAGTGTTAAGATAAGGTATCAAAAGTGCCTTGTACAGTGCCTAGCAAATACTAAGGGCTTAATAAATGTTATCGAAGTAAATTATTACCATTGCCTTTTTTAACAAAAAAGGAATTTAAAGTGATCTGGATCTCAATGTCTTCATCTATAAAATACAGTGATTCAAGTATATTCAGTTTGATTTAGTCCTCATTTATTGAGTATGCAGTACTTGGAAAACACTATGTACCAGTTAATGTGTCCTTTATGAAGACAAAAAGTGAAGGAGGTTACGAATTAGTCAAGGAGACACTGACGGGAAAATATGTAACAAATCAAAGAGCCTGGTTGAAATTAGGGTTCTGCCACTTGCTAAATAACCTTGAACAAGGTAGTAAGTCATACTGAGCCACATTTTTATCATCAGTAAATGAGACCAATAATACTCAACTCACACAGTGGTTAGAAGCATTACATGAAACAAAGTTGGGAAGAAAAGTAGTATGATGTCTGACACATGAGGTGATCCGTAAATGTTTATTATTAGCAGAAACATTTTAAGACTTTCATAGGTCCTGGGCTCTCTTATTTTTTTAAGATCTCATCCTGCATTATATCAAAAATAATAAAATGTACTTATATCCTATAAAAAGGTGCTTTTTGCTAGAAAAATGTAAAAATTACTTTTATAATTGACTTTATAGTTGAAGGGATTCATAACTTTTTTTTTCTTGAGATGGAGTCTCACCCTTGCCCAGGCTAGAGTGCAGTGGCTCCATCTTGGCTCACTGCAACCTCTGCCTTCCGGTTCCAAGTGATTATCCTGCCTCAACCTCCCGAGTTGCTGGGATTACAGGCACCTGCCACCATGTCCAGCTAATTTTTGTACTTTTAGTAGAGACGGGGTTTTACCATGTTGGCTAGGCTGGTCACAAACTCCTGACCTCAAGTGACCCACCCACCTCTGCCTCCCAAAGTGCTGGGATTACAGGCATAAGCCACTGAGCCAGCCTATGACAATGGAAGAATTAGGTTGTAGTTGGCTGATTGTTATAACGTTACATTGTATTATTTTCAACACTACAGTTATTATTTTATTGTTCAAGCCAATAGTTATTTTTTAAGGTCTCAAATTTTTATGTTGGCCCTTAAAAATGTTGAAACTATAGTGCTTAATGGACAAGTGCTCTTGTCTATTAAGGAAAAATGTAACAAATGCTATGATGAAGCCCTGAGGAAGCAAAAATGAAGGCAGGAAAAATTCTATGTAAAGTGGATTAAGGATGAGTTCAGGCAGATATATTTGAGCAGTGATAAATAGTTAGGAATCTGACCACTGAAAAGCATGTGGTCTTACATAACTAGAATAATGGTCTCCAAATAGAAGTCTGAGCAATTTAGAGAGTGAGCAAGAGATCCATGAGGGGAATGGAAGATGGAAGGGAGAAAATAGTATAACATACTTGCTTTTAATTCTAATTCTAATTTGAAACTACTGTTTGTTTTACTACATATTTAATATATGAGTATATTTCATATAGTATGGTGTGTGTGTGTGTGTGTGTGTGTGTATAAAATGCATATGTAACCTCTCAATAAAGCATATATTGAGGATGCATTACAAGACAGTTCCGAGATCTTCCCAGCACAGAGCAGGAAATAATTGAGGTTATGACTATTTGGTGAAGATATTCAGCTCTTCTGCTGAAGAGTATGTTATCTTGTAGGCATGGGGAGCCATGAAATGTTTAGGAAAAGAGTGATCAGATTTGTAATTTTAGAAATTAAATCCTGAGATAATGTGCAATTTGAAGGAAAGGAGCAAAGACTAGAGTTCAGAAAAGTAATTAAGAAAAAATTCAATAGGCTTATCCATGGATCATTTTACCTATTCCCCTCCCAAGCCAGGAAAAAGATAAGGCTAACTAATTTTGAACCTCCAAGTGAGATGTCAGCTCCTCTGAGATGCCTTCCCTAACTGTGCTCACAGCACCCCTGCTGTGTATTTCAAGTAGCTCCCTGTATTTCCCCCTTTCCAGAATTGATTACACTACATAGTAATTGCGTGTTTACTTGTCTAACTCTTCCTTTCACACTGTGGTACCTGAGGGTAGGAACTGGGTCATATTCAGAATCTTATCCCAGAAGCCATCTACAGTACCTGGAATTTAGAAACTACTCAATGTGTAGTTTCTATAGTAGTAGTTGATGAATCTGACTGAAATACTTCACTCCTTCTCCACTTCCAGCCATTCAGTGAACTAATTCCCATTAGTTCCCATTTTCAAGTCTGTGCTTAGATACCACTTTCACCTGAAAGGTGTGTCTCTGTTTAGCACTTATCTCCTTTAATTAAAATTGTATGTATAATTGTCTTTCCTTTTAAAAAGATGGCTATTTCATCTGCCAAAACAGGGAGCCGACATATACGTAGAGTTTAAAGTTCTGTTCAGTGTTAAATTGAATATATTCATGCTCTTCTGGGGATATTGTTGTAAGTCCTGTGGTGTGAAGGAGATGGCCTACATAGTCAACCCAGATGACGTCATATACTTTCAGCCTCTATGTAGCCACTGTTTTTCTCGTCCAAGTTCTCTCTCTTCTGACCTGGTTTATGGCCACATCCCCACCCTGTACTCAGCATAAAAAAACCTGCCAGGGTTCTCATTTCAAAGGAGCGAACTCAATGTCCTGTACAGAGAAAATAGGTAGAGGCAAAAGCAGAGAGTACCATTATTTATGAAGGTTTTCAGAATCCATCTGTTCTCTGGATCATGAACCCTTTATCAATGCACTGTAGCAAAACCCTCAGCTCCACTCCCTCTTCTACCATAAGGAGAATAGCAGCTCTTTTCTTGTGCTCTTCATTAGTAGCTACTGACAGTACAGCTGCCATCATGCCTCTCCAAACGTTATTAACTCGTTTTCCTAAAAGCAAAACACTATTCTGGTCTGTTTTATTTCTTTTCTATCTTATAAACATACCATGCTCACTTTTGAATTCTCCTCCTTTGCTCATTTGTTCCCTTTTTTCTTAAAATCTTCGTCTACTTCCTCCTCCCTGTTCATTCTTTCAAATCTGTATCAAATCTTGTCCACTTGTAACTGGACTCCTCCAGCTTTTATTGGTCCTTCCTTCTGAGCTACACTAGAATTATAGTTTGATACATAATTTTAACATTCTGCAATTCGCATGTGAACAATTAAATTGTTAGGACTTTATGGACAAAGATTGTACCTTAAAACTTCCTTCATCTCTTCTGCCATTATGGCATAGCACAAGATATACACTAAGCATTAATGCTATTCACCAGACAGTTGTGGTTTTTCTTCCACACACATAGTAAGATTGTGTTTCCTTGCTGTTCTGAGGTCACATGAGACTATTTGCCTTGCCAGTGAAGTGTGAATAGAAGTGTTGTGTGCTGTTTTTATGTGACAAATTTAAAAGTCACAGTTTGATTTGGGATATTCTATTTTTCTCTATCTTGGTCACTGGAGAGGTGTCAGCACGGATGCTTAAATGAAGGTGATATATTGAAGAACTCTCCAGCTGACCCCCAATGGGTGGCATCCCAAAGATTCAACGTCACTTGCTGAAGGTGCTGGGAGAGCCACCTGCTTAGTGCATAGCATGTTTTCACATTTTTGTGGGTACATCAGAGGCATATACAAGTATGGGGCACATGACCTGTTTTGATACAGGAATACAATGTGTAATCATCACATCAGGGCAAGCACTCATCATTTCTTTGTGTTGTGAACATTCCAATTGTACTCCCTCAGTTATTCTAAAATGTACAACAAATTATTGTCAACTGTAGTTATCCTGTTGTGCTCTTAAATACTAGATCATTCATTGTATCTAATTATATTTTTGTACCCATTAACTATCGTCATCTCCACCATCATCCCCTACTCCCATGCTGCCACAGCCTCAGGTAACTATCATTCTATTCTCTAGTTTCATGAGTTCAACTGCTTTAATTTTTAACCTGTAGCATTTGGATCATGAGCATCAGATATTGGGCCAGTTTAGGACAGAAGCAATCAGAGATAACAGAGAAAACTTCTATGGAATAAATGTGAAACTTCTCTACTCCTGACATAAGCATAACCTTCCTATTCTACAGTACTGTAAGAGTACTGGTACACAATAGTATAAAACCATTAGGTTGAACCAAGTAAAATTGACATTTTTATAAGATAAAAATAGCCAAATAATGAAAATTTTCTATAGTTCAACCAAATAGAAATAAGACCAGGAGGAAAAATGTGAAAAACCTGCGAGAAGAAATGTGACACCCTTGAATTAGCTATTGAGTCATATAGTGTCTGATAATAATGAAACCTGCATTTACCTGATTATACCTGAGAGGTGATGATATACTAGAATTCACTTGTTACTAGATTATAACCATATTGAACTAAAAATAATTTATCCATTGCTAAGCCAGAACTAATGAATCAAATTTGCATTTACATAAATAACAAAGGAAATTTATATTTTATAATTACATTCCCCAGCTTAAAAGTCTTTTTGAACTCATTTAAGAAGTAGATAATCGTAATAGTCCTATGTCTTTTTTAAATATTTAATGTGTAGCTTAAATCTTTCCCACAAAGAAAACTTTAGGTGTAGAACTCCCTACTGGAGAATTCTACCAAACATTTAAGGCAAAATTAATGCCAACTCTACAAAAACTCTTCCAGAGATTTGAGGTGGGGCAGATACTTCCCAACTCATTATACAAGGACAACATTATGCTTAAACCCAAACTAGACAAAAACATTAACAGAAAATACAATTATAGGCAATATCTCATGAGAATCAAGATGCAAAATTCTTAGCAAAACTATCTTGACGAAGAACAAAGTGAAATGAATTATTTTTCCCGATTTAAGGATTATTAGATGACTACAGTAATCAAGACTGTGTAATGCTGGTGCAGGAATAGACACATAGGTTAACAGAACAAAACAGATAACAAAAATAAACCCACATAAATATGCTCAACTGATTTTTGACAAAAGCAAAAAAGTAATTCAATGGAAAAAGGATAGCCTTTTGGAAAATGGTGCTAGAGTGATTTAATATCCTGAGGCAAAAACAAAGACAAACAACAACAACAAACCTCTCAACCTGTCTTACATCTCCACAAAAATTACCTCAAAATGAATCAGAGACTTAAACGTCAATGTAATATTGTAAAAATTTTAAAAATACACACAAGGAAAGCATAATGAACTAAGGTTAAACAAAGAATTGGCAGATATGATTCCAAAAGTATGATCTATAAAAGGAAAGTTGATAGATTGGTACTTATCAATCAAAATTAAGAACTCTTGCTCTGTGAAAGCTCAGGTAAAAAGGATAAAAGGTAAGCTACGGACTGGCAGAAAATGCTTTCAAATCACGTACCCAACAAAGAACTGGTATCTAGAATATATAAAGTACTCTCAACACTTATCAGGAAAGTAAAAATAATCCAATTAGAAAATGAGCAGAAGATATGAAGAGACAGCAAGCACAGAAAAAGATTTTCAACATCATTACAATCAGAAAACAAAACAAAACAACTAAAACATCACCCACTGCTAACTGGTGATGATGTGTACAAAGTGGATCATTCATACATTGCTGGTATGAATGTTAAATGATACAGCCACCTTGAAAAACATTTTGGCTGTTTCTTACGAAACTACATATGCAATTTCCATATGACACAGATATTATACTCTTGGGCATTTATCCCAGAGAAATTAAAACTTATGTTCACATAAATATCTGTACATCAATGCTTGTAGCAATTTTGTTTGTAATTATAAAAAAGTAGAACCTGCCCAGATGTTGTTCAATAGCTGAATGGTTAAGCAAACTATGGTACATCCATAGCATGGATCACTACTTAGCAATAAAAGGAAATAAACTACTGATACATGCAACAATTTGGATGAGCCTCCAGGCAGGAAAGTAAACTGATTGAAAAAAACCAATCCCCAAAAGTTATATACTGTTAGATTCCACTAATCTAAGATTTTTTTGAAATGGAAAAATAATATTATAAATGGAGAGAAATTAGCAGTTGCCAGGAATTAGGAAGCGAATGGTGGTGAGTATGTGGGATGAAGATGAGTGTGGTTATAAAAAGGAAAATAAAGAATCGGTGGGTTAGAAATGTCCAATATTTTTATTGTGGTGGTAGATAAACCCAAAGTGGTGAAAAATATTGTATAAAACTTAAAATGCGCACTTACACAAATAAGTCAAACTGGAAAAATCTAAATTAAGATGAACGCGTATAAAAATATCAATATGCTGGTTGTGATATTATACTATAATTTTGTAAAATATTATTGGAGAATACTGAGGAAAGCATAGAAGGAATCTGTTTTATTTCTTAAAACTGCATGTGACCTTACAATTATCTCCAAAATGTTCATTTATTAAATAAATACTTTAAAAAAGCACCAAAAATATAGATATAAACCTTTAAAAAGATGTCTAAGATCTATAGACCAATAACTATAAAACATTGCTTAGAGAAATTGAAGACCTAAATAGATGGAGTTATGTCTTCTTCATGAGTTATATGACTCACTGAAGTTCCAATCAAAATCTCAGCATGCCTTTTTAGAAACTGACAAGCTAATTCTTAAATTCATTTGGAAATGCAAAGGACACAGAACAGCCAAAACAATTTGAAAAGGAAGAGTAAAGTAAAAGGACTTAATCTATACAACTTCAAGAGAGGTCATTATGCTATAGTATTCAAAATGGTGTGGGTTTGTCATAAAGACAGGTAAATCAATGCAGCAGAACAGAGAATCAAGAATTTGACCTACATATATATGCCAATTGATTTTTAACAGTGATGTAAAGCCTGTGGGAAAATACAGTGTTTTAGTTTGGGCAGCTGTAACAAATTACTGCAGCCTGGTTGCTTACATATTTATATCTCATAGTTCTGGAGGCTGTGAAGTCCAGGATCAGGATGCTAAGATGGTTAGTTTCTAGTGAAGGCCCTCTTTTTGGTTTACAGATGGCTATTTTCCTTCTGTGTCCTCACTTGTCAGAGAGCAGAGAGAGAGAGAAAACAATCTCTTTCATGTCTCTTCTTATAAGGGCACTAATCTTTATGACCTTACTACCATCCAAAGACTCCATCTCTAAATATCATCACATTGGCAATTAGAGGCTTATCATATGAATTTGAGGCAGACATAAACATCCAGATCATAGAAGTTCATCATTTCAAAATCAAAGTATGATGCAACTGAGTAACCATTTGCAAAATAAATAAATAGTAAGATTCTACTTCATACCACAAACAAAAAGTGATTCAAAGTGTATCACAGACATAAACATCAAATTTAAAACTATAACATTTCTAGGAAAAGAAAAACAGAAATCTCTGTGACCTTAGGTTAGGTAAATATTTCTGAATAAAACAAAAGCACAATGCATAAAATAAAATCAATAAATTAAACTTCAACATGAGGAATTTCTGTTTTTGGAAAAACATTGAGAAATGCCACAGACTGGTAGAAAATAGTTGCATGTTTCATACCTAAAATAAGAGTTATTTATACACTGTAAAAAAAAAACTCTAAATCTTGAAATCTAATGAATAAATTGATAAAAAAGGGTAAATATTTGAACAATTAGCTCACCAAAGACAATATGCAGATGGAAAATGAACATATGAAAAATTGCTCAAGATCATTAGGGAAATGCAACTTAAAGCCACAATGGATTCTACTACCTACTTGTTATGATAGCTAAAATAAAATAGACTGACCATACGAAGTGCTGCAAGAGCTCTCATACACTGCTGGTAGGAATGTAAAGTGGTACAACCACTTGGAAAGATTATGTCAGCTTCTTAAAAAGGTAAACGTAAGCATAAAGAAGTTGATCTAGTCATTGCAATCTTAAATATTTACCCAAAAGAAATGAAAGCATATATCCATAGAAGACTTGTGCACAAATGTTCATGGTATCTTTATTTTTTATAGCCCTAAGCTGAGAGCAACCCAAACATCCATCAACAGGTAAATGGATAAACAAATTATGGTATATACACACAATGGAATGAATACTACTCAGCAATAAAAGGAAGTGAATTACTGATAATTGGAGCCCCAGGGCTGAATCTCAATTTAATTATGCCAAGTGAAATAAACTAGAGTAAAAGTATGTAATGTATTATTCTGTTTATAGAAAATTCTAGAAAAATGCAAACTAGAAAAATGCAAACTAACTTATCGTGATGGGAAACAGATCAGTAGTTGCCTAGGACAACGATGGGGTTAGAAGGGGCTGGGGGAATGCAAGGGAACACAGGGATGCTTCTGAGGGTGATGCATATGTTTATTATCTTCACTATGGTAATGGTTTTATGACTACAGACATACAGGAAAACTTTTCAAAGCATACACTTTAAACATGTGCGATTATATGCCTATAATAACTCAGTAAAGTTGTTGAAAAATGTTAATAGCTTCCCATTGCCCTTAAAATTAAGAACAAATGATTTTCACAGGATACTATGTTCTACAGGGTCTCCCCCTCGCCTACCTCTCCAGTCTCATCTTTTGCCCCTCCCTGACCATCTCTCTGTTGCCATCAGGATTGGCCATTTCTTCAAGGTTTTCTTGTCCTTCCGACCTCAGGATCTTTGCAAATGCAAGTCCCCCTGCTTTCCCACACTGAAGGATAAGCTCAAATCAATCACCCTTCAGTTCTCAGCTCAAATATTACCCCCTAAGAAGAGACTTAACTACTTCCGTAAATAGCTCAGGTTTCTGTGTTATTTCCTGGCACTCTCTACTATTTCCTTTTTAACATTTATCACACATTTCACTTATATTTTCAGTAAAATTTAATGTATATCACATGCCACTACAGTACATTTACATATATTATGTAATCAATACTTTTAAAGAACTAGATATTATGACAGTTTTACATTTAGGAAGGAGATTAAGAAACTTTGCTTAAGATCACACATAGAGTAGTCAGTGTCAGTAATTTGAACACAGCCCTATCCTGCTTTAAAACATAGGGTCTTAATTAATGATTAATTAAATGATTCTATGATATAATGTCCACCCTGATATGATACCAAAAAGAAATCTGATCTGCTGAAAGCGGATGTATGCCAAGGAATGCAAGTGGCTTCCAGAAGCTGAAAGCAGTATCCAGCTGACAGACAGCAAGGGAACAGGGACACATACAAGACAAATTCTGCCAACAGGCATGAACTTGGAAGCAGCTTCCTCTCCTGAGCGTCCAGAGAGGAGCCCTGCCTGGCCAACACCTTTTGAGACTGTAAGCAGAAAATCCAATTAAGCCCACCCCCCCAGACTTCTAACCAAAAGAATAAATGTATGTTTAGTTCATTAATAGCTATTTGTTATGCAGCAGTGGAAAACTATTACTTTTCTATTTTCTAAAGTGCTTACATATGATATATAGGGATCATTTACAAATTATATTTCTTATTAATAAGTTGATACAGTATGGCTCTGTATCCCCACCTAAATCTCATCTACATTGTAATCCCTACATGTTGAAGAAGGGACCCAGTGGGAGGTCATTGTATCATGGGGGTGGTTTCCCCCATGCTGGTCTCATGATTTGTAGTGAGTTCTCATGAGGACTGATGGTTTTATATGGGGCTCTTCCCACCTTGGCGCTCTCTCTCCTGCCGCCATGTGAAGAAGGACATGTTTGCTTCCCTTTTCTCCATGATTAGAAGTTTCTTGAGGCCTCCCCATTCATGAAGACTGTGAGTCAATTAAACCTCTTTACTTCATAAATTACCCAGTCTCAGGTACGTCTTTATACCAGTGTGAAAATTGTCTCATACATAAGTCATGGGCTCAATCAAGTCATTTTAACTTTTGGGGGGTTTTGTTGCTTGATCTGTAAAATGAAGTTTTACTGGATAAGTTCTACTCTCTCAACTTCCCTAAGTCTAAGAATTCATTTCTAGCTTTTTGCAACTATTGTGACACACCCTGATCAGGTATCCTCCATTCTCCTCTCCAGATTCATTCTCCACCCTTCAGTACTCTGCAGTATACCCCAAGAGACTGACCCCTAAGAACTACATCAGTGGGCTCCCTTGTCCCTGAGAATGGGGCAGCAGAAGTGATAAAGAAGAGCGAGGTCTCGGTATTTATTTCCTGGCTTCCTACAAGTACACAATACATTAAGGGGAAAAATGATTCCTAACTTCACTTGTGAATTTTTGGAAGCAGAGGAAGGACACGTAATGGACTGAACTGTGTCCTCCCAAAATGCATATGTTGAAGCCCTAACCCTCAATTTAAATGTATTTGAGGGAGGGCTTCTAAGAAGTAATTAAAGTTAAATGTGTTCATAAGTATAGGCTCCCAATCCAATAGAACTGGTGATGTTTTAGAAGAGGAAGAGAAACCTCTCTCTCTCTGCCACACATGTGCACTGAGGAAAGGCCACGTGAGCACACGGTGAGAAGGCAGCAATCTGCAAGCCAGGAAGACAGACAGCCCTTACCCAAACCCAACCATTCTTGCACCTGATTTTGGACTGTCCAGTCTTCAGAATTGTGAGGAAATAAATTTCTGTTGTTAAACAACGTAATCTAGAAATCAAAGATCACTAAATAATATCGCAATGGGTAAACAGACGGTACTTCCAGGCAAGCAGTCTATTTGTAAAGGTTTAAACTAAGTTGTGTAGTATCTGACAAGTAAGCCAAACATAGATATGGAGAGTCCAGGCTGGGCAGGGTGGCTCATGCCTGTAATCCCAGCACTTTGGGAGGCCAAGACAGGTACATTCTTTGAGTCTAGGAGTTTGAGACCATCATGGGCAACATGGCAAAGCCCATCTCTACAAATAAATAAGTAACTAAATACAAAAATTAGCCAGGCATGGTGGTGCATGCCTGTAGTCCCAGTCTTTACTCAGGAGGCTGAGGTGGGAGAATCTCTTGATCCCAGAAGGTTGAGGCTGCACTGAGCCATGACTGTACCACTGCATTCCAGCCTGGGTGACAGAGCAAGACCTTGTCTCAAAAATAAATAAAAATATAATGAAATAACAAATATAGGGTCCAGAAAATGGCCCCGAAATCAAGATAGGCAAAATAAGTCAATAATAAATTCCTACAAGATAGGGGTAATCACAGTGATGTCCTACATGAACTGGGCTACTGGACAGACTAACAAAGCAGAGACTGAGTAACTAGGTGCAAGGTGAGAAGCAAGACATCTCCAGGGCTAGATAGAAACTTATGGAGAAGTCTAGAGACCAGGACATAAGTGTGACTTGATCTTGAATGCAAGAATGCTGATTTAAATTTCCAAAATCTCTCCCAGCCCCTGAAAACCTTCACCTCACTGCTCCCTTCACTCCCTTTCTTCAAGTCAAAGACTGTCTGAGCAGAATTAATCCCCATATATGAAAATTCTATAATGTAGAAGCCACATGGTAATAGCAGAGGAATGAAGACAAAGGGGCTGTATTGTAAGGAAGTATTAATTCAATATTAAATTATCTAAGTAATTACGTGTGCAATAACCAGACATTGTAATGTAAATCACATTATCTAATCTGTATTTTTGTGAAGTTAAAAAAAATGAGCTCAGCTGGTAAGCATTTGCAATTTGAATCAGTAGACAGAATTTTGGAGAAATGACACTGCCACTTAACAGACAAAAAACATTGTGGAATTTTTTTTCCATTTGTGTGTGTCTTCTATTACCTCTTTCAGCAGTGTTTTATAGTTCTCCTTATAGAGATCTGTCACCTCCTTAGTTACATATAGTCCTAGGTATTTTAATTTTTTTGCAGCTATTGTAAATGGGATTATGTTCTTCATTTCACTCTTGCTTGTTGTGTATAGAAATGCTGTTGAGTTTTGTACATCGATTTTGTATCCTGTAACTTTATTGTAGTTGTTTATCAGTTCCAGGAGTCATTTGGCAGTCTTTAGGGTTTTCTAGGTATAGAATCAGATTGTCAGCAAAGCTGGAAAAATCAGTATTAAAATGGCCATACTTCCCAAAACAATCTACAATTCAACGCTATTCCTATCAAGCTGCCAACGGTTTTTTTTTTTCGTGTAACTAGAAAAACTTATTCTAAAATTCATATGGAACCATAAAATAGACCAAATAACCAAAGCATTTCTAAGCAGAAAGTAGAAAGCGGGAGGCATCATATTACAGGGCTTCAAACTATAGTATAAGGTTACAGTAAACTAAAACAGCATGGTACTAGTACAAAGACAGACACATAGACCAATGGGACTGAATAGAGAAACCAGAAAGAAAGCTCCACACCTACAGTCATCTTACCAAAGTTGACAAAAATAAGTAATGAGGAAAGGACTTCTTGGTCAATAAATGGTGTTGGGATCGCTGACAAGTCATATGCAAAAGAATGAAACTGGACCCCTACCTCTCACCATATACAATAATTAACTAAAAATGGATTAAAAATGTAAATGTAAGACCTCAAAGTATAAGAATCCTAGAAGAAAAACTAGGAAACATCATTCTGGACATTGGCCTTGGGACATTTGTGACTAAGTCCTCAAAAACAATTGTAACCACAGCAAAAAACATTGACAAGTGTGACCTAATTAAACTAAAGAGCTTCTGCAGAGCAAAAGAAAACTATCAATATAGTAAATACCCTGCAGAATGGGAGAAAATATTCTCAAACTACGCACACAACAAAGGTCTAATATCCAGAATCTATGAGGAACATAAACAATTGAACAACTGAAAAACAGCTCCATTAAAAGAGCAAAAGACATGAACAGACACTTCTTACAGGAAGACATACAAGAGGCCAGCCAGGTGCAGTGGCTCACTCCTGTAATCCTAGCACTTTGGGAGGCCACGGTGGGCAAATCACTTGAAGCCAGGAGTTCAAGACCAGACTGACCAACATGGTGAAACCATATCTCTACAAAACATACAAAAATTAGCCGGGTGTAGCGGGCCACAGGGGGCGAGGAGAGACCTGAGGCAGGAGGATCCCTTGCATCCCCCAGAGGTTGAGGCTGCAGCGAGCTGTGATTGCACCACTGTACTCCAGTCTGGGTGACAGAGTGAGACTCTGTCTTAAAACAACAACAAGAACAAAACAGACAAGAGGCCAACAAACATACGAAAAAATGATCCACATTACTAATTGTCAGAGAAATGCAAATCAAAGCCATAATGAGACACCATCTCACACCAGTCAAAATGGCTATCATTAACAAGACAAAAACAACAGATGCTGGTGAGGCTGTGGAGAAGAGGGAATGTTTACATACTGTTGGTGGGAATGTAAACTAGTTCAGCCACTATGGAAAGCAATTTGGAGATTCCTCAGAGAACTTAAACTGCTATTCAACCCAACAATCCCATTACTGGTTATACATCCAAAAGAAAATAAATAGTTCTACCAAAATGAAATACTCATATGTTCATTGTAGCACTAGTCACAATAATGAAGACATCGACTCAACCTATGTGCCCATCAATGGTGAATTATATAAAGAAAATGTGGTACATACACACTGTGGAATACTAGCCAGCCATAAAAATGAACGAGATCTTGTCCTTTGTAACAACATGGATGCAACTGGAGGCCATTATCCAAAGTGAATTAACACGGCAACAGAAAACCAGTGCCACATGTTCTCACTCTTAAGTGGGAGGTAAACAATGGAACTCATGGACATTAAAATGGCAACAATAAAAACTGAAGACTACTAGAGGAGAGAGGGAGAAAGTGGGGCAAGAGTTGAAAAACTAACTATTGGGTACTGTGCTCTACCCTGGGTGACAGGATCAATCAATCCGAAACCTCATCATCATGCAATATACCCACCCAGGTAACAAACCTGCCCATGTATCCCCTGGATCTAAAATAAAAGTTAAAATTATAAAATAAATAAGTTGAATTAAAAAAAAAAAAAAAAACCTTGTGGTACTCAAAATTCTGCATGCCCAAGTGGATCAGGGGCCGAAAGTACAGGGCATTCATAAACTGTCTTTAATAGTTTATGTTAAATGTTGCCTCCTGTCAGTAAGAAAGCACTCCTCTTAAATCAAAAACTATAATACTGCCAGTGTCTGTGACACATTTATTTCTTTAAAGGAAGTAAACTTTTAAGCCAAACTTCTTACCTGCTAGATGAGAATTCACCCAAGTCAGTAAAATCCACATAATTTCAAGATATTAACAATCAGCACAAATTAATGTCAACCATCTGTAATTCTTACAAGAGGATGCTTGTTTGTTTACAAAGAGTATAATTTTTGCTTTCTAATACATTGTTTTGTAGCATAGGTATCTTTGGGGTTGAAATGGAATAAATAACATTTCATTTTCATAGAAAATGAACACTATATAATGAATAGAACTTTTCATTGACAATCTTGAATGCATTACATTACTCTTAAGGGCATTGTGTTTTTCAAATGTTTTAAGCTAGCATCTCTCCTAGACTTAAATGACAAAATGAAGTTCACCATTTCTAGTTTGACTTTTTTTCTAAATTTGTCTTCCTTCTTACACATCATAAATCAAGTTTGATCCATATTGGAAACCATATGTTTTCAAACTGATATCTTTATTAATGAAAATATGTAAGTATAAATTCCTGGGCAGTTTTTTTCAGCAGCCTAGAATCTAATATCAATTGTTACGAAGTTCAATGCTCTAAATAACCATGAGCTCCAGTTAATTGACAAGATTGAATACACATTTTAAAATAACATAAAGAATGTTGACTAAACATTTAGTCATTATTTCTAAATCTTAAATAGTTTAATATTATCATACTGCCATGGAATAAATTGTCCTTAGAATCAGGAGGATCCAATTTTAGGATTTTAGGATTTTAAAGTTCACAGGGGCTACTGGTTCTTACCCAAAGCTAGTGGCATATTCACTAAAACCACAACAGCCGTGTCTATTATGTTTCAGGTTGCCGGAGTAGGTCGATGCACTGGTGAAATAATAGGTTATATTTCTGGAGCATAGAAGGGAGAAAAGGACAAAAGTACTAATTAAATTTGAAATCTGTATAATCCTGGAATAAATACACAGGAGAATACGTTAATTCCAAATGTCAGCCTCATTTTCACTGAACTTCTAAAAATTTTTAACAACGCTTTAATTTTTCACCTTCATATGAAAGTGAAGGTCCAGTTTTAACAAAGGTCTTGAAAGAGCCCAAATGCAAACTTAGATATCATATTCTTATGTTTAGAAAGTGCAGTGCAAGCAGCCCAGGTATCAGGTTGCATTTTCATACTCTTGCTACTCTGGTGGCAACGCAGAATAACTGCCATAAATCATCTCTTGGCTGTATACAATTAATTTTGTGTTCTGTACTTATACTCCTCTATGTTTTTATGCTGTTTTTTTTTTTTATATATGACTTTTGAGGTCACTCTTGGTTTTAGGTGAAATACTCAAGCTTAATATTAAAATATCACTGGGTGATATTGTAGTAACAAGTTCTAATAACCAAACTCAGGGTCACCCCTTCTGCAAGTTTTAAAATTAACTGTCAAAAAATGTCAAAAGAAAAATATCTTGTTACTCCTTAACCTTTTTGAATATAAGAAGATTTAAGTAAGCTTATTATACTTCTTGAAGGGTAAAATATTTCTACTATCACTGCATATTTTCACAGTGATCCTTTATCTTACTTATTATCACCCTAGAAATGGTTTTAGACTTCATCATTGGTTCTTACTATTTAGCTGATTGCAGTAAAACAGAAAAAAAAACTGTTTTTAAATAATTTTCAGAATAGCTATTCTTCCAGACGGGAGTCTACGGATCCTAAATGCTTCCAAATCAGACGAGGGAAAGTACGTTTGCCGAGGGGAAAACGTCTTTGGTTCTGCTGAAATTATAGCTTCGCTATCTGTAAAAGGTAAGACAGCACGGGTAAATGTTTTACAAGCATAGTCTCATGGTCTTATCGGAAAGAGAATAAATATAATATAAATGCATATATGTTTGGACTTAAGTGTGTGCATGCTTGTGTTTATAAAATACATTGCAAACATAGAACTAAAACAGCCACATTGTTACTTTCCACCATTTAGGGTACCAAAAATGAAGGAACCTCTTATTGGCAGAAATTTTATTTTGCTTTGAATAAAATTTGTGAGAGAATGAGGCAAGCTTTCTGAAGTTTTAGTCAGTGTCTCAAAACTTGAAAGTATGCCAACGGTATAAAAATATTTTTCCTCTACCAAGAATAATTTTAGCATCAATCACTAATATTACTCTGTTATCACTTCAACTAGGGATTTGGGGCAGAAAGGAGCAGCAGCAGGAGGATATGATGGAGGGGTGGTATAGGACTTCGCATTAGATAAACTGGCTCCAGAGCTGTTTGTTGATGTCTGTATCAATGAAATTTTTATATGCCTTTATTTTATATAAGCAATATTAATATTACTGCTTATATGTTTCCATTCATTTTATCGTTCTAAAATGAGCTCGATTTCAAGCCTAGAACATTCTGTTGAGGCTCTATGTCATTGTTTAGTGACAGAAAACCTATCTTAGGCAGTCCCTTCAGATGTTTTTCACATTGAGTCTTTAATTGTTTTCACTGTGCATGTATCATATGGCAAACCATACTCCGGCCATAAAAATATAAAAATATTATTTTTTCTGTCTTTAAAATAAAAATGTAATTAATACATTTACATTACTGGTACTAAAATACCAGTACTCTGATATTTTAGAAGAGAGAACATCAAGAAAGAAAAGAACAAAATGTAAAATATACTTTCATTTATATAATGCATTACTGGACTCAAACGCAGCCTTTCAGTTCTTATTCCTTCTGTGTGCTAGTTGTTCCATTTTGTAATAAGGCAATGCTAGATCCAAAGACATTTTTAAAATAACAACAAAAATGTTATTTTCTTAATCATGAGTTTAATTGTTTACTCAGAACACTCCAATCCCCACAAAATTTAAACTACAGTGTACTGCTTTTATCTGTCTTCTCTGATGAGGCCAGAACTTAGAATGCCATATGGAACATTTGACTTCCAGAATGTTAATATTTACAGTGACATTCCTGTCCCAGGATTCCATTTTTTTCTCAGTGACTGCATAGAAGGACATGGAACATTAAAGGATCTGATCAGTGGTTAGGAGTGGTGTTTCATCAGACTGCACTGTCGCAAACAATAGACCTAGAATAGGAAATTTAAGCCAATTGTTAATCACTGTGTTAATTGTCTTGAGGTATCTATGACCAGGAATCTAACTAGGAAAGAAGATAAAACCAAAATCTTCATCACCTCTCTACTATATTTAAAACACATCATCTTGTAATCAGCTAATCACTAACTTAACTCTTAAATGTAAAGCCTGTTTTAGCCTTTATTGGTTCAAAGTTGCTCTAAACCCAGTAAAAAAGTGTGTTTTTAAAATTTAACTGAATCATTAAGGAGTTAAACATAAACATTGTTTTCTAAAAACATTTCCATTCAGTGTTTCTACCTTTCTTTATATATGCCAATTAAGCCATCTACAATACAGCAAAGGTACAAAAACAGGTACGTTCTTCTGATTAAAAAATACTTTTCTACTCCTAAAAGCTTTTTGTCGAGTGTAAAGCAAATACAAGGTAGTGTTGTTGTAGTATTATATTTTTATCTCTGTTAAGATAGTTATTTGGAGGGAGGTGCTTTCTATTGCCCTGTAGCCTCCTCTCATCTTTAAGCAAGTGAACCCTCTCTGAATTCTTCCTGAAACACATAACCTTTTTATTGTAAAAAATCTTTTATTTACTTAATGATCCTTGAAAGTGGTCAGAGAGGCTACAGCCTCTTCTTTTTTTCTAATGTTCCTCCTTCCATAATGTCAAATGCTGCTTCTAATTAGGTAGTCTCTTGTCTTTTTAAAATCCAAGTCACATTCTTAATAGGAACAGAGGCTCTTAAATCATTTCTCCCCTACAAAAACATGGTAATATGCCCTAGCATCCAAAAGCTAATAAAGATGTAAAAAAGCTGGTATATGTATCTGGAGCAACTGTATTGTATAGATTTCTTCTTTTCTCAATTATTTCAAGCAAAATATTATGTATGGTAACACAACAGGTTGATTATCTTAATTAACGTATTTTTATTTCTATAGAACCTACAAGGATAGAACTTACTCCTAAAAGAACAGAATTGACAGTGGGAGAAAGCATTGTCCTTAATTGCAAAGCAATTCACGATGCTAGTTTGGATGTCACTTTCTACTGGACTCTGAAAGGACAGCCTATTGATTTCGAGGAAGAGGGTGGACATTTTGAAAGCATCAGGGCCGTAAGTGAATACACTTTTATTCTTTTAGTAATGATAACTTTAGAAATTTTGAATCAAATGTAAGACCTTGCTTAGCTATGAAGTGCTAAGAAAAAAAAAAACAGAACATCGACTTGATAAAAACAATTACTTTCTGCCATTATTTTATGTTATGTCAAACTGAAAGTAATATGTAATTATTTTAAAACCCCCAGTAAAAAACTGAGAATACCTCATTATTTAAATCTGGTTTCTTTGCCACCTTTGTTTAATATTTACACAATACTTCTCAAAAGTTATGTTGCTACATAAAGTGGCAATTCATTATTTAAAGCATCGTTAACAGTAATTATGATAAAATAAATAAATAAAATGCCTGCCTGTCCTTCTCCTCAAGAACAGTAATTTTTGGAGTTTCTTTAATTTTTTACAAGCTATAGAGCTTAAACATACAACTCGTAGTCATAAATGCACATTAGCCTTAAGTCAGTATTCAAAGATATACTCATTTCTGCCATTTTTTTCTTAATATCTTCTTTTATATTGTGTACCTACATGGCAATCAACCAAATGGAGTGGGAAATCTCTTGAACCAAATCCTACAGAACCATCACAGTGCTTTAACTCTAGAGAAGTGAAAAGAGGCCCCTTCCCCACATGGACTTATTTAAAATGTAATAGAGTAACATAATGAGAGAGGGAGGAGAAAGACAGATGGAACTGGGGTGGCAGAAAAAGAGCGACTTTGGCTGGAATCTTCCTTCTATATTGGCTAAAGAGATGGAGCCAAATACAATTTTTGCCTACAAATTGGATTTAAAATGCTGTTGCATACTTATTAGTATCAGTTGATCCATCCTGAAACACTTTGAGAAGCATTGGAAAACCATAGCTTTAGTGAGCCCAAGTATTTAAACTCAGTGTCAATTGGATTTTATTTTAAAGGTTATGGGATACAAGGAAAAAAAAAAAAAAGCCCTAAATCCAAAGTCAGGAATTCTCTGGATCAAATCCCAGCTTAATCTCTAGTCAGCTGTGTAACATAAAGCCAGTCACATGATTTGCCTGGGCATTAATTTCTGGAGAAATCAAAGTGAAAAAGTTACACCAGATAATTTCTAAGATAGCTTCTCACCTTAGAATTTGGTAAATGTATATTAGTGGAAGAGTAAAGATGAGCTCTCTTTGTTGCATTTTCCAATGTAACAAAAATTAGCCCACTTTCTTCAAAACTATTCCTTTCTTCCTGGTTTACTATCCAATTAATAGGAGAGAGTATATAAATAAGAAACAATTGCCAACTACATTGTTCACCATCTCATTAAATGAGCGAATTTTAACTGTTAATATCCAAGTTATATGTAAAGTATTTAGAGTGTGTTAAATTAAACACATTTTGCTCTGCTTTATGGTTTTCCTTCTTCCTTTACCTTGGGTGATAATTCCTTCCTACAATACTTTTCCTACACATTTTATAACATGGATGTTGTAAAACAGACCAAGAAAATTTAATTTTAAAATATCACATTTTGATTAAAAAATCCCATGAGAAAAATATCTTCTTAGGATTGTCTGCAAACATCCCTTTTGAGTGATCACATATCTAAAGAAAAAATACATCTAAAAATAAATAGCCCCTCTTCTTATAAGTAATCCCTCTCTTTATTTTACAATACCAATATAAAAATGAATGTACCTGGTGAAGTTACATGAATTATTGTTTTTGTCTCTTAGACATAGATATGTTTAGGTTGATGTCATTCATTTGTATCAATAAATACCTTTTTTTCCATGAAGTTGGCAGTTAAGAACATCTGCTGTATTCTTCTTTGCATATATGCTTTCCTTGCCCCAGAGAGTGCCAAATGGACTCCTTATTCCACGCAAACCCATATAATTACAACCCACTTTGAAATTAGGCTCTGGATTAGAGACAGTAACAATAAACTCTGAGATAGAAGAAGAAAGCAAATCATGGTACTGAGAAGGGAGAAAAACATTTAGCTTTAAGGTATAAAGCCAAAATATACTTTTAGTATGCATATGTATTTTAAAACATATGGAAGCTTCAAAACTATGGCATGTATAAGAAATTATCTATCACCTTTCTCTCAGTTACTTCAAACACTGAGTCTTGGTTGGCTTCAAGGACACACACCAGAGAAAATACCATTGTATGACAATAAAAAGGCAAAGAATGGAAAGAACAACATTCTGTTTCCCTTCTGCCCTTCTCATGTAAATTATGTCTGGAAAATAATGCTTTAGGAGAAAACATATAAAAGTGTTATAAAGGCAGATTTGGGAGGCCTTCTGGGCTTGTGGATACCTTCTTTCTGTGAGACCAAGGACAGACTGTGGGAGTCAGAGGGACAGGATGGGGCTGAGAAGAGAGCCAAGTGGGGTGACTCAAGGTCTGCTTTGAGTTTCCAAGAAGAGTCATTAAAGGATCTCCTAAGGTGTCTAACTTATCCCAGCAGAGTAAAAAAATGAAAATGGGATTCCGGGACTTAAGCAGGAATAGAGTGTGCCTATGATTGGAGCACTGTCCAGGCTAACTGTCCTGGGACAGAACCCTGCCAGTGGGTGAGTGAATGAGGGTGAATCAGAAGAAAAACACATTACCACTGCATGAGGTAACTTAAACTAACTAAACCTCTCAGGTGGGAAAAAGAGATAACAATATTTTGTATTATTTTGTAGATGCCAAAATATGACTTAATGATGTTCCCTATTTTTCAACTGTTGTACTGGTATCTTTTATACACAGACATTAGCTTGCATATAAATCTCTAGTCAATTATTTTATGTAGCCTTCATATACAATCTATATACAATGTACATTGTATACATCCACATCTATATACAATGCACATTTTTATGTTTTAAAATAGATGATTGCTTTGAACTCCATTTCAACAGAGTGCATAAACATATGATCACATCAGGCTAAAAAATAATAGTATTGCTTTAAATTAAAAATTAAGTTTAAATTAAAACATTCATAATGAAAATGCTTCTACTATTTATGTTGCCCTCTTAGGCCATGTTTTACAAACTCAGCAATTTGACTAATTTGGAGTGAATCCATTATTGGAAGTCACTGTTGAAAGGGGAGAAGCAATCAGTTAGTACATAAACATTTGATCCAATTCATCCAAATCCTTTTTTTTGGCAAATTTTATGAATAAACTGAATGTGATAAGCTAGTGAGTATATTCTTAAGATTTTAAATCTTTTTAGTTCTACAAGCTAAATGCTGTTGGGGGATGGGGATCCAAAATAAAAGGCATAGCCCTTCACACCTAAGAGAGCACCATTTAAGGGTAGAAATTGCAGTATGGGCTATGATCTGCTATAATAAAGCTACACCAGAGAACTATGTGCATTCAGCTGTTTGTTAGAAGGGGTTGGTATTTGAAATGGACCTGGCCTCAGATCCATTCAAATGGAAGGATTTCAGCAGGTGCATAGGAGAAGCTGCATCTCAGACAGAGCGAGCACGTTGGGCAAACAAAGAAGGGCAGAAGAGCTTAGTGCGTGTTTTGGGAACAGTGAGGAACCAGTGAGGGTGTATAGTAGACAATAAGTCACTGTTTGTTGAATAAGTTTAAAGGAAAGCAGCAGAGGCCTCAAAGGCACTGATTTCGGAGCTATAAAATTTGATTTGTATTTTGAGTACAGCAGGGATTCACATGATTCAGATTTGTTTTTAGGAAGATAATTCTGACAGCTGTGTGGAGCAGGGATTGGCTAGTTTGTGGATTTTACATTCAGTGTAGACCTGTTAAGTAGAGGTTATAATAAGGAGATAATCGTTGTAAGTGTTGACCTTAAATAACCATCCTGTAACCAAATAAAAGCATTTACTATGGTGTCCTGACTTGAGAGTTTATGTTGGTCAGAGGTCTACAAGAACCTCTGATTCCTCTCAGGATATCTGAATAGCATCTGAGCTATTGAGCATTGCCATGTGGCCCCAGAGCCACAGTCTTAATGGAGGACTGTGCTGAGCCACTGTTTTCCAGTGACTTGAAGTCCTCTAATTATTCAAATAGGATATAAGAAAGTTTCTATCCTTATAATGCATAAAGAAGTGTTACACTGAATATCATGGTGGCCTGCAATTTGCTGCTTTTTTAACACAGAAAAATATCTCACGCATTTGTTGTCAGAATGGTCCACTAGAGAAGAATTGCCCTTTCATTGTGAACTTGATAAATTGCAACCAAATAGGCAACTGAGCCAAAGTGCTATATAGCTGTATGGTCCTTCACATTTACCCAATTCTCTGGTTATAGCAATACATGTAGGAAGGCAGAATGGGAATTTTGAGCCCATTTTTTTAATGAGGAAACTGAAGAATAAGACTTTTCCAGGCCACATAAATTGGGGTAATAAGATTCAATATCATGTGATTTTTAAACTACACATTTGTTCACTCTCCTTTATAAACCCTCTCCATATTCACTGACCACTTCTTATGTGTTAAGCCTTTGTCTATAAACTGTGAGAAATAAAAATAAAAGGAAGGTTTGAATCCAGTCTTCAGTAAACATAAAGATAATGCAAGACATTAAGCAATTCAAGAAAAATATGACCATAAAAACAATTACTAACTAACTTTTAAAATCACAGCCAAATTTTGTTGAAGACTAGAAAGAGATTAATGTGATATTTTGTCATTGTGGAGAAAAGCAAAATAAATAATTGAACACCTATGTGCCAAGCACTGAGCTAAGATAGATGGATACTGTATGTATGTCTGTCTAGACACACACACACACACACAATAGCTCACTGATTCCTCTTAACAGCCATATGAAGTAATGTTATTTGGGGAAAACATGCTACCTGACCTAGACCTCAGTGAGTAGCATTAGAATAGTCAAAGAAGAAAAAGGAAGGCAACCTAAGGTGAGAAAAGATATTGTTATCTTAGGGTTGTGCTGGATCTTAGAGATTATTGAGTTTGGCCTAGGCTGGTACCGGAAGTCTCTTTCAGTATCACTAGTGTATGTCCTAACCCTTTAAGTGATGAGGACTCACTCCTCTAAAGTTCGTTTCATTATCAGTCACTTCTGAATGTCAGAAGATTGGAAAGTAGGAGTAATTATGATCACCTGTATGCCAAGCATGAGACTCATAAGGAAACATGCCTGATTCATATGCAGAATTTTTGTGGAATATTAGGTGAATAGAAAGACAGAATATAAACCCCTTAGTGCCTTGAGAATTTTATATTAGCTGGAAAACTCTAGCCTATATTAATTTTCTTATTACAGACACTTCTACTCCTAGTTTATCTTCTTCAGAATTAGCTATTTCCTAAGGAGTAAAAGTCTCTGAATAGAACATAGTAAGTGCTCAATTGGCAACATTCTGTTTCCTGATTGATAAATATTAATTGTGTAAAAATCAATGGAATGCTTGGGTATACTGCCAGTTTACTAAGGCACAAAGCTGTAAGCGTTTCATAAGCAAATGCTTCATCCTCTTCTTCATCAACTTGGCATGCGAAGTCCTGGAGCCATTTCACCACTAAACAGGAAGTGTATCAAAGGGCGGAAGATCTAACAAAGGCTCACAGTCTCTTAGACTCATTATGTTTGCTAGTAGCATTCACACTTTCATGTAAATGGTCCCATGGACTCCGAGCGCTACCCTTTCCCTATCTCACTAAGGGCCTATCCTTTCTCATCAGTTCAGATCCTACCTCTTGGTTCTTTGGCCTGCTCTGAACGCTGGCAACCTAGTAATCCACCCATTTTCTATTCCAACCTCCTGACCGCCACATATTTGCTATATTACTGTTCCCTCCCAATCTTTCACCTAACTTAAAAAATTGTGTAATTTTAATAGGACAGAAACATACAGTAACCATCAACCAAAACTTGGGGACCCTCACGAAGAAAGATTACCTTCAAAGGTTTTAGAATATTCAGACTATCCCAGAAAAGTGCACCATATTCATTCTCCCTGACTTGTATGTGCTAAAAAATGTGTCTCCACTCACTGTCTTCTCAAAGTAGAAATCATTCCGAAAGCAAATAAGAATGTCCATCTTTTTTTTGGTATTATATATGTTTGTTTCATATAGTTTATGAATATGATCAATATATGCCATTTAATTATGTTATTCTATAATATTTCATGTATTGATGATAAACTGCAGGGATCCTAAAAGCAAGGGCTAATAAGTAATTTTATTTTTCATCACTTTGTACTAAGAATGTCCATAAAACAGCCATTCAGCTAGCCAATGCTGTTTCAATAAAAACAAAACCTGATATAAAGCGTTTTCTCTGCTTAGCCAACTGCTACATTATTTCAGAGGTTTTAATATAATTAAATACTGCATAAAATTCTGTTAAAATCTGTTTTCATAACAGAATAGTTTGTTTCCTTGCTTTTTTACTTTTTACACAAAATGGAATATCACGTTAGCACAGTTTGGAATTGAATGAAAGATGACTGCCTTGATGACACCTAAGACAGTCTGTTATTGGGAGACCCTTACTTCCTATGGGTCACAGGGCAGTCAGTACTGGAAAGTAGTGCTGTATTGATTGCCCATCTCCACTTTACTCTAATTAGCAGATTTTTCACACATAGCAAAATGTGAAGTGCGTCTCTTCACTTTCTGTAGATTGTCAAAATTAGTAAAATTAGGTAACGTCTTCAAGTTGTCCCATATAAAAAGACAGGCTTAGCCATCCAATTCATAGGCTGAACTTTGTTCATCTAAATATAATCTACCAAAACAAACTTCCTATATTGTCGTAGGTATACAGAGCATTTTTATTAATTTGGAAGTTCCATTTTTGATAGCTGTTTTATCTTTATGACAGGTCTCATAACATTATGTGTGCTATGAATAGTTACTAGTATCCTTGCAAATTTTTATTTTGGTGTAGAACTGCAGGTCTTTGTTATTATTGTCAGAGAGAGAATATAAAGCTCTCTGATAGAGAAAGGCAATTTTTGTCGGGGGCATGCTTGGAAATATTAGATCAATACCTTGGATTCTGTAATCTCTGAGGGGATAAGAGTACCGTAATTCCCAGAGCCAGCTAGGATATTTTAGGTTATTGGATAGAAAAAAAATTGAAGAATGAGAAATAGAAGACACTCCTTACTCCTTAGAATTTGCTCTCCTAGGTTGTAAATTTCAAAAGTTAAATATGCTTCTAGCTCAGTAACTCCAGAAACTTAAAAAATGCTTACAGGTATCTAGGACTGTATATGTTTTCTCTTTCTGAGGTTTTGTGTTTTTCCAATGTTGTTTTTCCATTTCATACCTATATAAACTCAGACTAGTTTTTAATAATCCTATATTCTCACTGAGTTGATTGTTTTTAATCCAACAAAAACATGAATTTATCTGGAATGAAGTGCCTATTATTGGGAAATGTGATCACTGGTAGGCCACAGTGGGTTGTTGCATTCACTGTTGTTAACTTTGACAGTAAAGTCAATCCGATTTATTTCAGTGATGTTTATTAAACCAAATTCTCACCTAACTCCAAGTTACTTTTGACAATGACTTACTTAGACATAACAGTCTTTCTGATATACATAACAAACTTCTCATGCAAATTTCTATTGATTATCCTGTAATTGTACATTGAAGAGCAATCAATGGCTCCTGGCTTTAAAACCATTTTCCCTTTCCAATCTGACAGAAACTTCAGAAGGCAAAAAAAAAAAGTCTTAATTATATACATGCTATTAAAAGCTTAGAATGAGTGAATAACCAAATAAATGAATATTATCAAAACCATTCTTTATAACATTATCACTTTCCACTTGTATCAAATGTTCAAGTTACTGAAATGAGTACCTAAATTATCTTTGGTGCCTAATAACCATCTTTTCTCAGTATTCAACTTTACACATAATCGGTACTTTCTTTTATTTATATCTTAAGGGACTGCTGTTCACATCTTGATAATTTTTCAATATATCTCTACCTCCCTCCTGTTTTCCTTTACTTGTCTTTCACTATTCATATTACTCGTGAGCCTATTCCAATGAATTGAAATTGGAAGGATAACTAATGTGTCAACTTTAACTGAAGATACCATAAGCCAGTGTAGTAGATACTGTGGTGTGTTGCCCAGGTTCTCCCTTCAAGACTGAACCACTCCTTCCCCAAGCTATGGAGAATATTGGGGGCTGACAGCTCTCAGCAGTGTTCCGCTCTGGGAATTGCCTTCAGTCAAAGAGAGTTATCTGGTTCAAGCTGTGCTCCACCCCAATCTCATGCTCAATGCATAGAGATGATTAGTGTACAGGGGTGATTATAAAGACCAGACCCCTGGCCTCAGCTCCAGAATTACATCTCTCACCTGTTGAATGCCTAATAGATACCTGGCAATATGCTAGACTTTTCAAATATTATTTCATTTACTTCCCTCAAATACGCTATGGTATAGAAATTGTGTTATTGTTGTTGTCATTGTTGTTTGACAAAACAAGAAAAAGAAATTTAGAAAGATAAACAACTTTCCCAAACTTAAACAACTGTTGGATACAAGAGTTATCCAAACTAGGACTGAACTCCAATACATTATCATTTATCAGATCTAGGGCATATCTAGAACTATTTAGCAAGATCACATTTTTAATTTCCTACTTAGTAAACTTAGTAATATCTTGTGAAAAATGTAATTATCCTTCATCCATTTTAGAATTTGTGAGTCAATTATTTCCATTGCCGGTAACATTTTCATGTATTCTTCTAATATTACTCATTCTTATGAAGTTTATATTATGATTATGTGGTTACATTTACACTATATGAGATCCAATTTTCAAGTATTTATACATTTCACTATCATGGGCAATCTCCTGCCCCTTTGCCAGAAAACATATTTCTATTAAATATAGATATATATTTATATTTATATATTTATATTAAAAGCAGCCGTATAAGTCAGATTATTAAAACCTTAATTGTTTGTTTTATAATAAGTTTGAAACAGTTTCATTGTCTGAGTAAGACCTAAGCTAAAACATTTAAATAGAATTTTACATTTTTAACAGCCCTTTTTACCCTTCTTCCCTCATAGGTATTATTTCA